>NC_000006.12:15514545-15666060 GCF_000001405.40 Homo sapiens | reverse complement strand
AATCCATCTTCCTAGTTTCTGGCTGATTACTGTTACTTATGTAAACACGACATGTCACATGCTTCAACTCTTGGTCCTTAATCATTCCTCCTGAGCAACTCATGTACAACAGTAGTTATTTTCTAATTTTTTTAATATTTACTTCTTTAAATCATAAATTATCTTTTTATTAGCACTTTTAAAACTTTCACTGTTTTTTAATTTAATAGATATGATGGAATTAAGAATGTTCAGAAAGCACCTCAAATACAAACATGCCATAGACTAATAAACAGTGCATTGGTCAAGACAGAAATGATCAGGCACAACCAGTAAAGCTATTTTTTAGTGACAGGCAAGAGTCTTTTTTGAGTGGATTTGGTGCTTTGTTGGAATGTATGAAACTTAGTAAATTGAAAGCTTATGTGTAGAGTTTAATTGAATAAAAGAAAAAAATTTAATATTTCCCAGTACTTGTGGTTTTCAAATCTACTAGATACTAAGGGACCTGTCTGTAGATTTGATCATTTGATCACTTGCTTTGTTCCAGGCACTGTTTCTGAGAGGTAGAAGAAGGCTCAATAAACAGCACTCCTCTTTCTTACTTGTCTGAGCAAACTGAGAAATAAAACAATAGTGTCAGCATAAAGAGGCCAAAATATCACTTTTATATCTAGGAAGACTGATGGAACACATGGCTTATATTCATGGGCAAGCAGAACTTCTAGTACCCAGTCACAAAAAGCACTGGGTTGCCCTTCAAGCCTGTCTTTAGGCAGCAGAATGAATGCTCTTTGTTGGAAGTGTTCACTCAACAAAAAGAAAAGAAGATGAGACCAAGCTCCTTACTTCTAGCTCACTAATCATCGTAGTCACCTCTTCCCCACCAGGAGAGGCTGGGTACTTCTTTATGTTAGCAGAAGAGCTCCCTTCCCATGGAAGAAAACATCAAGAGTGGGGAAGAGGTGGTCCCCCAGCTACAAGCTAAGTCCTTTATCTTATTTAACTCCTGCAACAAGACATTTACTGGGTGTCTGTTATGTGCCATTCACTGTTTTCATTGCTGGGGATGCAAAGCTTAATAAGACAGAGCAGTTTACATCTGGGCCTGTACTTGTGCTACTTACCTCACTGGCCTCATCCAATCCCAGCCCTAACAGATCCTGTGTATTTAAAATTTTGATATTTTGTTCATCACAGATTTTTTTTCATTAATTTTGAATTTTTTAAATATTGTATTAAAATATTACTTATCTTGATTACTGAGCTTTTTGGCTCCCGTAAATTTTGTACCTGAGGTGAATGCCTTATTTGTCGTGGTTTTAAAATATGTTTGTAAACAACTAAATTAATAAATAGCAAATAATTATTGAATAAATTTTCTAATGTGTACTAAGTTGAGAAACAGGCTACGTGATAGGAAGTGATTGGGTGTGTAACTTGAATGGTAAGTAAAACCTATCTAATGTGATGCTATTTAGGATGTGACCCTTATGTTATAAGGAGCCAGACAAGGGACAGTTTGGAGAAAAGTTTGTGAAAACACCACAGGTGGAAATAAACCTGGAATTTTCTAAGAACACACCAAAAAAAAAAAAAAAAAAAAGGCTATTATGTCTTAATTGTCAAGGACATGATAGGTGACTAGTAATCAATTTGGATACAGTGCTAGAAAACATTCAAATTTTAGGGCTTTTTAAGGGGGTAAGTAGTTTGAATTTTATTCCAAGTGCCCAGGAGGCAATTGGAAGATTTTAAGCAGGGGAGCAACGTGATCCGATTGATCTTTTAAATAACTCTTTCTGGCTGCTGTGTCAAGGATGGATTATAGGGGTGTGTATGGCAAAAGAGTAGAATCTGGAAGAACTGTCTGTGTTCCCATTGAAAGAGGATGGTGCCTTCGACCAGGATAAATATAGTGAAGATATAGAAAGAGAAGGAGGTTCCAGAAATACTTCAGGAGTAGAGTTGATTGGATTTGATGGGTTAATATGGGGAATGAGGAAAAGAGGGGAACCAGAGGTGATTTCAAGTGTCTTACCTTGAGCAAATTGGTGGATGGTGGTGTCATTTACTGAAACGGAAAATACAGGATGAGCAGATTAAAGGTGAACATGCAATGAATGAAATTTTCAATTTTGTGTATGTTGGTCTGAGATGCCTTTTGGATACATGTTGTATACATGCTTACATGAGTAAGCAACTGGTATGAATTGACGGAGAGGGAGGAAGGACAGGGCAGAAGATAGAGCTGTGGGAGTCATCGGTTCCTTGACAGAATTTACAGCGTGGTAATGGATAGACTCTATGCTATCCATCTATGGAACAACACATCTGGAGAAGAGAGAAGAGCTGGGGAGGCTGGACTGTAGCCTTGGGAGTGGCTATTAAAATAGGAGAAGGGGTGGAGCGGAAGGGAGAGAGGAACTATGGAGTGCTTAGCAAGAGAAGAAAGTGTTTTAAGGATGGGGATGATAAACTGCATTGAAAGCCACTGAGAGGTGGAGAAAAAATCAGGGCAGAGAAGTAATAAAAGGCATCAGCAACATGGAAGTCACTGGTGACTCGCGAAAGGCGATCACCTTTGGTGTGTAGGGCACAAAAGCCTGGGGGGGTAAAGAGAGAGTGGAAAGTAAGAATGTCGAGACAGTCGACTATTATTGCCATTTTATGAATGAAGAAACCGAGGCTCAATATTTGACTGTCTCATTCAAGGTGAAAGCCAGTGGGGTCAGATCCTGGACCTAGAATCCATGCAATGATTTGTGCACATCGCCTATTGAAGAGAGAGATCCAATTCTCTTCCAAAACGTAAAAGCCAACACTTCCCTCAAAGGAGGCTTCGAGTTAAATCATCCTTTCACGATGCCGCTTCCATTTTAAAGAAAAAAAAAAAAAAACGAGAAGGCCTGGTGCGGGATAGGAATGAGCCGAGGAGCTACTGGCCCTCTCGGTCGGGGGAAGACCCGCCCCTTTTCCGCAGCCCGAGCCCGGCGCAGTCCACTGCGGCTGCGCGAGCCTGGCGCGCGCGGGGCGGGAACGCGGAAGGGGCTGGGGTTGCGGCGCGGCGGCGAGGACCAGACCGGGGGCGGGGCCGGTAGTGGGAGTGCGGGGCGCGCGGTGACAGCGCGGGGTTGGCGGCGTGGGACCCAGGGGGCGACAGAGGCAGCAGCAGCCCGAGGCCTGAGGAGAGGAGACCGGCGGCGGCGGCAATGCTGGAGACCCTTCGCGAGCGGCTGCTGAGCGTGCAGCAGGATTTCACCTCCGGGTGGGTATACGGTGGGCGACGAAAAGGGACCTGAGGGGGCCGGGCCGCCGCCTGGGATGCCCCTGCCTCGCTCCCTTCCCCGCGCCACGGTCCAGGGTCCGTCCTGTCCCGCACCTCCCCGCCCCGCCCCGCCGAGGAAAGTAACGAACTTCCCGGCGTCCTCGCGTCGGGCGGCGCAAAGTAACTTAGGTCCCTGCGGGCCGCCTGTGACGCGCACCCCCCAGGACCGGGAGGCGCTCGGCGGCGCAGCGGAGCGCCCGGGGGGGGTGTGGGACCCTGCGGTCCTTTCCCGGCAGCATCAGCTGGGCCCTGGAGGGAAGTCATGTGAGAAGCCAGCGCGCCTCACCGCTTCCGCCCCCGCGGCACAGTGGCCTGCGCCCCTCGGCCCAGCAGACACCTGCTCGTGCGCACCTGGAGCTGGGCCAGCCACCCTCCCCGAGTCGGATCGCACCGCGCAGCAGCCTGCACCCTCCGGCCACAGCCTTCCGCGCCGCGTCTCGGCTTTCACGCCCGGCTCGCCGGCCTAACCCTTGGCAAGGCTGGCCGCCCCTCCCCGTTGCGTCCTTTCTCTACCTTTGCCGTGAGCTCAGCGCCTCGGCGAAGGAACTCCTAAGCAGGAGAAGCGACAGAACTTTAGGAATGCTTTTAATACCCAGCGGTTCCCAAACTTTGCTTAGAATCACCTGGGAACCTTTCAGAGTTCTGATGCCCAGGTCTCACCCCCTACCTGTTGACCAGAGTGCCTGGAGACGGCGTTTTAAAGATCCCCAGGGGATTCCAGTGGGCACCAACGCCTGGGAACCACAGGCCGAGACTCTGGCGCCAGATTGCCTAGGCATCCTGGCTCGACCACTAAATCAAACGTAGTTACTCAGCTGCCTTGCCTCAATGTACTGTTTCCGCTACCGTAAAATGGGGATAATGATGGTACTTAAAAGGTTATTACAAGGATTAATGAATTAATGTGTAAAACACGAAGCAAGCATCATGTCAGTATTGTTACTTAGTGCTTAATTTTAATTTTTTCATTCCTTTAAAGTGAAAAAGATCTGTCTTTGAAAAGGATCTTTCAACTTTAGCTTACAAATCCTGTTGGAGGATGCACTGAATGTGAGAACATTTCCACTCATACTGTTTTAAATTTCTCCCCCCCACCCCCCTTTTTTTTGAGATGGAGTCTTGCTCTGTCACCCAGACTGGAGTGCAGTGGCGTGATCTCGGCTCACTGCAACCGCCGCCTCCCGGATTCAAGCGATTCTCCTGGCTCCACCTCCTGAGTAGCTGGGACTAGAGGCGCCCGGCTTATTTTTGTATTTTTTAGTAGAGACGGGTTTCACCATATTGGCCAGGCTGGTCTCGAACTCCTGACCTTGTGATCCTCCCGCCTTGGCCTCCCAAAGTGCTGGGATTACAGGCGTGTGCCACCGTTCCCGGCCCACCCTCCCCCCCTTTTTTTTAAAGTGACAAGTTCTCGCTCTGTTGCCCAGGCTGGAGCGCAGTGGCGCTATTATAGCTCGCTGCAGCCTCCAACTCCTGGGTACAAGAGATCCTCCCTCCTAGGCTTCCTGAAGTGGTGGGATTATGGGTATTAGTCACTGCGCCCAGCCTCGTTTTAAATTTCTAATGAGAAAGATGTTAGCCAAAATTTTATCTTAATGGACAAAAATGTTAATACTATTTGCACATTGGGCGTTGAATAACAAACTGTCAAACGCTTGAGCACTTACCATGCGTCAATCATTTTTGTTAGTTTGGTGTTTAGAAAGTTATGGACGCTCGGAGTCATTCACTGATGGGTGTGCTTGCGTGCTTGCATTTTGTTCTCCCTATTTAGTAAAAGTACCTTCTTTTCAGAGCGTAAATTATTGTATTGAAAACTTTTTGGTGTGATGCTGAAATGGCCCATTTGTAGCATGAGAGTGGCCATTATTCTCCTGTTAGTACTTCATGGAATTCCTTGATGGCACAAGAGCCCATCTTGTAGTTACTATAACTCTAGGTCACATGGTTGCCTCAGAAGCATTCATGCTCCTGACCTTTGTAAGAAGGCATTTTACCCCGGAATGTAGATTCTGGAGTGGGCTCTGGACTGCTGGGGCACAAACCATCCTGGGAGATCAGGGTAACCCTAAACGTTTAGAGTTAGTTAAGGAGAGACATGCCAAAGGGATCTAGTTAGAACCCCTTGGAAACTGACTTGACTTCTTAAAGATGCCGTAGTCTGGGGCCATTTTGGAGCTAGACATCCTGAGAGGGCTTCATTAGGTCTTTTGTTGGCTTTCTCCTGTACAGGTCACTTTCAGCTGACAAACCACTGGACTGTCAGTGTGTGCCATTAGCCTGTCACCTGGTGGAGAAACAACTCATCTCCAAGTGATGTCAGTCTCCCAGTAGACCCGGACCTCTAGTGCCTGATGTTCACTTTCTTCAGGTCCTCAATTTCCTACATTTAAGCTGTTCGGTTAAACTTTTCCATATTCAGCTTGAGATCAACCTCCTTTACATAACTGATTATTTTTGCCTTGAGGAGAAAAGATGACGCTAAACACAGCACACATGTGTTTATTATATGTTGGTAATGTGGAATTCAAAGATGAAAGAGACGTGAGCTGCATCACTAAAAAAGAAACATATTACATAAATGCAATGCTGATATCATAGATAATAAAATTAACACTAATTTTTTGATATTATCAATTATGCAGTCCATAATCAGATTTGTTTTGTGCTTAGAAATGACTTTTTACAGTTGGTTTGTTCAAATCCAGATCAGATAAGTTTCACACATTAAATCTGTTTAAAAACCAATTTTTAAAACAGACGACTGTTAAAGGGCCACATGGGGAAGCTTTATGGAATCTTCCAACAATTTTGTTGTCCCAGCTACTTGGGAGGCTGAGGCAGGAGGATCCCTTGAGCCCAGGAGTTCAAGACTGGGCAACACAAAGAAACCCCATCTTTTGGCTGGGTGCGGTGGCTCACACCTGTAATCCCAGCACTTTGGGAGCCCGAAGCAGGCGGATCATGAGGTCAGGAGTTCAAGACCAGCTTGGCCAACGTGGTGAAACCCCGTCTCCACTAAAAAATACAAAAATTAGCTGGCCATGGTGGCGTGCGTCTGTAATTCCAGCTACTTGGAAGGCTGAGGCAGAAGAATCTCTTGAATCCAGGAGGTGGAGGTTGCAGTGAGCCGAGATCACACCACTGCACTCCAGACTGGGTGACAGAGGGAGACTCCGTCTCAAAAAAAAAAAAAAAGAAAGAAACCCCATCTCTTAAAAAAGAAAGAAAAAATGAAAAAACATGGCCCTGGCCACCCAGAGCTATCACATTGGACCTGGCGTTTCTGTAGAACACTTGGTGGCAGAGCAATTGTGTGGAAGCCAGAGCAGCTGCCTTCTAAAATAATTGGAAACACCGGGTGTGCAGGCTGCCCCAGGGATGGAATGGAAGGCCTCAGGCATTTCTGGGCTCCTTCAGTGCAGCCAGTGCAGCTCCCGCTGTCGCCCAGAGCAGCATCCTCTCTTCGGAGCTTCTGTGATCATTTTCACTTTCTGAAAACTCATATGAAGGCCCTAACTCTAGATAAATTTACTTTTTTTCATTTTTAGTAAAATAGAACGATTCCTTATCAGTCTCAGAATGTCACTTTGGTGATGAAACCATGTCCAATAAGAATAAATTTCTACATTCCATTCAAACTTTGAAAAAGTGCAGCTTAAGACCATTGTTCTTTAAGGGCAGTGTAGAGATTACTGGTGGTTTGGGGGGAGCTCTAGGTTGTCCATGGACTTATGGCCTTTTTTGTAAATTTTTATGCGTAGTAACAATTATGTCAACCTTGAGAAAAACTAGTGATTACATCACATTCTTCCTGCCTTAATTGGGTGGTGGGCCAGCCTTAGGCCACAGACTGAAGAGGATTGGTTCTGAGCTTCACTCAAAGATCTTTTCCCCTCACCTAAAGTGAGTTGTAATTTGATTTAACTGAGTCAGAATTCTTGGAGCCTTTTGGAGAGTTCACATAAAATATCCATTTTTACAGAGATTGGCTTGAGCTCTGGGGAAGACTTTTGGACATACCAAAGTACATACTTCGAAGCCACTCTGGTCTTTGACTTTTACCTTTTGAGCTGTTACGACCAAAGGCCTCAGGATTGAGGTATTTAGGCATGCAAACCCTTCAGGGAACTGAAAATCAGATTTACTGACGGGTTTACAGCTGCCTGTCACAGGCTGGTGTTTCCTATTTGTGATGCACTGGGTTCCTGTGGTTGGGGATAAAAAAACCTGCTATTGTTGCAGCTAGAGGGTGTTTCCCCCTCAAAGCCCTCACTGCCCCTGCCGCCCACCTGCACCCCTGCCCAGTGTCCTCATTCTGTCTTCTTCCGTCCTTGTAGTATCTACCAAAACCTACACAAAGGGGGTTGGAGCCAGTCATCTAAATTACAATGTGGTCAAATGGTGAAGTGTTGCTTGAAATGTTGACTTTTCCGGGATTAATCATCATCTTAAAGAGAAAATAATCTCAGTATTCAACTTGATTTCATAAATATCTACAGAGTTCCTATTAAGTGCCAGTGCCAGACATTAGACTAGGCACTCAAAGTGTCCTTTTTCATAGAAGCTTAAAAAAGATTTGAGAGCCCATATGCTCAGGTTTGCCTAGTCTTTCCTAAACAATGTCTATATATTGGGCCAGATCCTGCAGGTACAAAGGTGTCTAAAACAGTCTCTGTCCACCAGATGCCCTAGACTGGTGCTGATATAAAGCAAAGCAGAATGAACAGAATGTTAAAGATACAAATAGTGTGGTATGTGAGTCCGAAGAAAGAGTCATTAGTTAGGATGCATTTACAGAAGGCTTCAAAGAGGAAGGGGTTTCTAAAACTAGGCCTTGAATAATGAGGAGAAATTGCGATAGATTTGGATAAGCACATTTCAGAGATGGAAGCAGTCCTGGGAGATGAAGCTGGAAAGGAAGTTTAGTGCCTAATAATAGAATATCTTCAATGCTTTGCTTAATTAATTTGTCAAATATTTATTGAGTGCTTACTATGTGGCAGGCACTATTTTAGGTACTGGGGATATAGCAGAGAACAAACCAGATAGCAAGTAAGATCCTTACTCTCGTTCTAGTAGCAGACTGTCTAGAATATCTAGACGGCCATAAGTTCTGTGGCTAAAAATCAGGCTAAGGAGAAGATGGCCTACCTGTATTTCTGGAAAAATATTTCTGTGTTTCTGGAAGAATAACTTGAGAGGCTGTGTGATAGGAAGATAGGGGATGGGGTAGAGGGAGATTATTTAGGAGGCTGTAATGAAGGTCCAGATGAGAGAAGATAAGGCAGTGCTGATAGAAGTTTAAAGGAGGGAATAGATGTGTTAGGCACTGGTCAGATTAGACAGCAGTGGGAGATGAAAAAGGTGCAGAAATTGAGAATGTGAATTTGGAAGTATCTTAGATAAATGGTGTCATATACCAGCATTAAAGAATTTAACAATAGGTTTGAGAGAGAAGGAACAGTTAACAGTGAATTTGTGATGAGCTAGCTGCTTGACAGCTGAGAAGCAATTGGAAATTTCTCTTGCGCTCAGGTGAGAAGTGAGAACTTGAAGCCATGTATTTGGGACTTAGGATAAAGGCATTAGGATGTAGATAGTCTAAATTCATCTTTCTTTCCTGAGTCTGTGCAGCTTTTGTGTGAATTTCTTAGGCTTTGTACCTTAGGCCATTTGCACTTTTAAGTGTGATTGAGGCTTTGGCTTTTCCCTGATCTCGCTTAAGAGAGAAAAAAAATGATGAACACTGATGTGAAAATGTAATAGATTGGATGTGCCTTATGACAAAATATGCTAATTCATACATTTCTGTGGTGCTTTAAAGCAATCGTCCTCACCTTTCCTAATAGCCAATGATGTAGACAGTTGGAAATTGAGTTACAAGTAAATGAAACGTCATGCAGGTTCCGCACGCTGTTGAATCACCGGCAGATCTCAGCAGTCATTGTAGTACTCAATGCATCATTCTGTTTATCTACATCTTTTTCTTTTCTTTTTTTCTCTGAGACAGGGTCTCACTCTGTCACCCAGGCTGCAGTGCTGTGGTATGCTCATGGCTCACTGCAGCCTCAACCTCCTGGGTTCAAGCAATCCACCCACCTCAGCCTTCCAAGTAGCTGGGACTACAGGCATACACCACCACGCCTGGCTAATTTGTGTATATTTGGAAGACAGGGTTTCGCCATGTTGCCCAGGCTTATTTACATCCTTTTACACTTTTTGTCTAAGCAGTTTTGTGAGTCACCCCCCTTTTTCAGTAAGAAGCCCCCATTTTAGTATTTTCTACAAAGCTCAAAGACATAAATATGCTGGTGTCAAATTAAGGTGAAGTCGTTGGAGCTATCTAAAAATAAAATTATTGAACTTTATGACGAATTTGAGGTTTAGTGCTTTGAACTTGAAAGTTGTCATTAGTAGAAAATAGTTGTCAGATGGCTCACTTAGTCTATATATTAATATGCTCACACAGCACTTATGTGTTCATGGGGTGTATGGTACTTGGGAGAAGACCAAGAATAGGGCTGGGCAAGCCTTTTGTAGGCACATTGGGAACCTCTGCTTTATTTCACCTTAGCCCAGTAATGTAGTACATTGGTTTCTCGGCTTTCTTGATGGGGATCACCTTTATTATAACTTTCATTTGAAATTAGCTCTGTAGTTTCCAGAATGCCATTAAGGTCATATTTGGAATTTTATTCAATTCTCATGGCAAATCTTTATGGTTGAGTATAATACTACCATTTTACATTTGAGGAAACTGGAATATTCCCCCTAGGTCAGTATTTCCTTCACAGCATGTCATGATATTGTAGGACATTAAACAGACGTTATAAGTGGGTTGTTTCCAGGACAGAATAAGTTCTCCAGAGAAACTGGAGTTATCCTAAAATAAAAATAGTGGGCTAATTTCAGGTGAATTCTGGGTTTTGAGGATGTTATTTTAGAAAATACCTTTTTGGCTTTTTGTTACTTTCTTAAGTATATCTGATCTTTTATATTTTTCATCTTAAGAATAATAGTTGGAAACAATCAAGAAAGTTTAGCAGGCAAAAAGATGACTATTTTCAACTTTCCTATGGCTACTTTGTTTTTTTACTTTTTTTTTTTTTTAACTTCGTTTTACTTTCCTATAGCTACTTTGTTTTTTACTTTGTTTTTATTTTTTAGCAGGGAAAAAGATGACTATTTCCAACTTTCCTATAGCTACTTTGTTTTCTCCAACAGTTTCTTTTCTGCATTTTGGCACATTGGCCATTTATTTGGAGAAGAAGTGGTGAGAAAAGATGAATACCTAAAAGATTGTTTTTGTTATTAAAAATGTTTTTTGGCTGGATATGGTGGTTCATGCTTCTAATCCCAGCACTTGGGGAGGCTGAGGTGGGAGGATAGCTTGAGCCCATGAGTTCAAGACCAGCCTGGGCAACATAGGGAGACCCCTGTCTCTACAAAGGGTTTTTAAAAACTAGCTGGGTGTGCTGGTGTGAGCCTGTAGTCCCAGCTACTTGAGAGGCTAAGGTGGGAGGATCGCTTAAGGCCAGGAGCTTGAGGCTGCAGTGAGCTATGATTGCTCCATTGCACTCCAGTCTGGGTGACACAGCAAGACCCTGTCTCAAAAAAAAAATTGTATTTTACAAAGTCTCAAACACACACACAAATAGAATAACACAATGAACCACATATATCCATTGCTGAGATTCAACAGTTTTCAGATACTGCCACGTTTGCCTTGTCTCTCCCTTTATTTATAATGTAAATCTCAGACTTGCCTACTATACCTGTGATATGTCAGCTTGCATCACTAAAAAGGAAACACATTACATAAATGCAGTGCTGATGTCATAACTAATAAAATTAACACTAATTCTTTGATATTATCAATTATGCAGTCCATAATCAGACTTCTTTTGTTCTTAGAAACGACTTTTTACAGTTGGTTTGTTCAAATCCAGATCAGATAAGTTTCACACATTAAATTTGGTTAAAGACCAATTTTTAAAACAGATGACTGTTAAAGAGCCACATGGGGAATCTTTTGTTGAATCTTCCAACAATTTTACTTTCTGTTCCCTGTAACACTCCTTTTTTCCCTTTCATTTCAAACCGGTTTTTTCTTTTTGTCGGTGGCGGGGAGGAGATGGGGTAGGGGGGCAGAGAAGAGAATTCCAAACTTGGCATATTACAATTAAGAAAGTAAAAGTTTGTTTTAGAAATAAATAGTTGAAATACCAACTTAGAGATTTGCTGGATCATATAATTAGAGTAGTCCAAAGAGGATCTTAGGAATTCCCTTTCACACTCAGCTGTATAGAATTCTCCTGAATCACTAAAAATAATGCGAGAATCATTTTGAGTATGAGGCACTGCTGTATATAACTAGGATAATTTTGCCTGAGATGTTCCAACTAAGTATTTTGATCAAACTTTATAGTGGAAATGGTAGAGCATGGCCATAAAAATTGTTTTCCCTAGGTTTTGCTTAATCTTGGTTTAAACCAGATTTACTAGTTTCCAGGATAAACTGAGAAATTTATATTAGACTTTTACACAATTTCCTAGACTTATCTAGAGAGGTATACTAATTACTTTTGTATTAAAGAGATTGCTGAATCTTTTGAATATTGCAGAGGAATTGATCTTGTCAATATTTTATTTTTTGAAAAAGATCATAGAGTAATATGAAACTCTTTGTATGACATTGGCATTCTAATTTGGTTTTAAAAAAATGCAGTTTATCAGAAGTCCCCATATGGTGCTTAATCAGACGTTATAGACAGAAAAGATGGAATCCTGTTTCAGAACCAGCATGCATAGTTGTGCAGATTGTATACTGTACCATGCATTAGTTGAGGCATTCATGCAAGAGTCAACTTGTGTATTAGGACAGTTTCTGGCTGATGGCAGTAAAGTGTCTGGAGGAAGGAGCAGCTATTTCTGTTTTTACAAAGACTTTGTAGGGGCTAGCAGTAGTACTGTGGCCTATATTTTCAGTTTCTATTTACAAATGAGTACTTGTTGAAGTGATTGAGAAGAATGTGTACATGATATCTCATTTTATGTGATATTACTGCATACTGTAGCACTCACTTATTGGCAACCTCAGTTATCTGTAACAGAGTCCACAGCCAAAATAAAGTAAAACTGGGCCAGTGAAGTGAAAATAAATTGTACAGTTTATGAACATCATATTTTACATTAAAAGAGTCTGTTAATTCTATATATGCAGCTCTAGCCCATTTATCTGTTTTCCAGTGCAATAATTTAAAAGCAGCAAGTAGAGGGGAGGAGACTGCTAGAATTAAATAGCTGGCAGAAGCAGTGAGTGAGAGCTGACATCCAGGTGACCAATGGTAGAGAAAGAAAATTTAGGAAAGGTAGACATAAGAGCCCAAACAAACACAAAACTACCATAGATTGGTTTCAGGTTAATAGATGAAGATGCATTTCTAGCTCAGAAGTATCAGGGGAGAGTACTGTTTTGCTGCAAAATGTAGTCAATGATATTCTTAATACTGATCCTGAGTCATCACAAAATGTTAAATGAGATATACAAAATCCTCTTTAATGAAAGAAGTTTGTAATATATTTTAAAAAGCTTTTTCTCAACTAAAATTTCAAATACTGTGGATGCTTAAAGAGATTTGAAGGCCTGGGTAGCATCTACTTAATGAAGTGTGCTGCTTAGATATCTTTGTTACCTATCGATTTCTCCTATGTGGAACATTACTTTTTCTAAAGATGCCAGATAAATTATGTTTTTGTGGTCTGATCACATTTAGGAATCTTGGTTTCTAAAAAAGGGGCTTGGGGTAAGTAAGAATATGAAAATAAGGCCTGGCGTGGTAGCACACACCTATAATCCCAGCTCTATGGGGAGGCTGAGGTGGGAAGATCACTTGAGGCCAGGAGATAGAGACCAGACTGGGCAACATAGTGAGACCAAAATAAAAGTGAAACAAATAGCTGGGCATGGTGGCACATACCTGTCATCCTTGTTACCCAGGAGGCTGAGGTGGGAAGATTGCTTGAGCCCAAGAGTTTGAGGTTACAGTAAGCTACAATCGCACCACTATACTCTAGCCTGGGCAACAGAGTGAGACCATCTCTTAAAAAAAAATTTGCTACAGATTTTCCGTTTGTAGTATCTAACATATAGTAAACACTCAAATATTTGTTGTCTTTTGAGGTACTTAATTCTTGCTTAAAAAAAAAAAAGTAGCTTATCTGACCTAAAATTTTAACATGTGAAAATTTGTGGTTGAAAAATCTCTGGGCTGGGTGGGGTGGCTCATGCCTGTAATCCCAGCATTTTGGGAGGCTGAGGCAGGAGGATCATTTGAGGCATGGGGTATGAGACCAGCTTGGGCAACATAGCAAGACTCCGTCTCCACTAAATAAAAAAAGAAATTACCCAGGCGTGGTGGCGGGTGACTATAGTCCCAGCTACTCAGGAGGATGAGGTGGGAGGATCACTTGGGCCCAGGATTGAGGCTGCAGTGAGTAATGTACATGTCACTGCACTCCAGCCTGGACGACAGAGTGAGACCCTGTCTCAAAAAAATAATAATAATCTCTTGACTTGTAAAAATATTATATTTTATATTGAATTATAGGCTGAAGACTTTAAGTGACAAGTCAAGAGAAGCAAAAGTGAAAAGCAAACCCAGGTAAGCTTGTGCTAAGATTTTAACTTAACTGTGACTTAAATTTCATACAACTTTTGGTGTATTCACAATTGTGTAGTTATATTAATGAACCTTAGATTTGTTGAGTGCATCTGACTACAAAATAATTTATCGATTCTTTCTAAATTTTGTAACAGGAAAATTTTCTAATAAAATCGTGAAATGGTTGAAAAAATGGTGAAGTATAATTGTTTTACTCTGACAGTCAATGAGTATTATTTGATCACAATTAGTCATTTTTAATTTGTATAAGAGCAAAAGTAAAAGTCCTGAATTATTGAAAAGCAAATTAATGATGAAATACTACTTGGCAAATGAGCCTCTTCAGCTATGTTACCTGTTTTGTATGAAAACACCAGGATTGTGCTGTTTGTCCATTTTTTTAATAAAGTAAAGCATGTGACCAGATTTCATTTTCAACCTAGAAATGAACTGTGATCTTACATATTTGTTCTTATCCAACATTATATTAAATAATTTATTGTATGCTGAAGAGAATCTCTGGGGCAAAATGATGGTTGATAGTGTGTTACATACAGTACATTAACTCTGAAATAAAACACATTTCTCTAAAAGTTTAATAATTGTCATTAGTGATTTTAAAATATATTACAATTGACAATGTCAAAATTCTTGTATGTACCTTTTTTTTTTTTTCAGTTGGCTAAATCAAGAACAGTTTTAATAAGTGTTTCTTTTGGGCAGGACTGTTCCATTTTTGCCAAAGTACTCTGCTGGATTAGAATTACTTAGCAGGTAAGTGTTTCATTTGTAGAGGAAGGTTATACTTCTGACTTTTTTACTGACCAAAAATATCTTTTAATTTTGTAGGTTAAAAGCCTTAAAACAGCTAAATTTTATCTTAATGCAGTGATTGGAAATTATTTATGTATTATTTTCCTTGAGGGCTTTCACTTTTCACTCATTAGTACAAAGTCCATTCAAACTTTGAGCAGACAGATCACTATTGTATTTACAAGTCAATACTTTATGATAATATGTACGGCTTCTTTATTACAAGAAAATTGATTCTGGATTTGAGTCCCCAATAATTTTGTTTTTTTGCTTTGATTCTTATGTCATTTCTTTTCCAATCCATTCTTTTATTGACATGGAGTTTAATATTAAAATGTATGGTCTTTTTAGATATAACATCAAAAGCACAAACAACAAGATAAAAATTAGACACAATGGACTTGGTCAAAATCAAATACTTTTGTGTGTCAGAGAACACCATCAAGATAGTGGAGTGACAAAACATAGAATGTGAGAAAATATTTGCAGATCATATATATGAGGAACAACATGTATCCAGAATATATAAAGAACTTTTAAAACTTAACAATAAAAAGACAACCCCATGAAGAAATAGGCAAAAGAGTTGAATAGACATTTCTCAAAAGAAGATATGCAAACGACCGATAAGCACATGAAAAGATGCTCAACGTTGTCAGTCTTCAGGGAAACGCAAATCAAAACCACAATGAGGCCGGTCGCGGTGGCTCATACCTATAATCCCAGCACTTTGGGAGGCTGAGGCAGGCAGATCACTTGAGGTCAGGAGTTTGAGACCAGCCTGGCCAACTTGGTGAAACCCTGTCTCTTACTAAAAATACAAAAATTAGCTGGGCCTGGTGGTGCATGCCTGCAATCCTAGCTACTCGGGGCTGAGGCAGGAAAATCACTGGAGTGCAATGGTGCGATCTCGGCAGGGGTTGCGGTGAGCCGAGATCGTGCCAGTGCACTCCAGCCTGGGCAACAAGAGCGAAACTCCATCTCAAAAAATAAATAAATAAATACAGTATATGGTTAAAGTATGTCATTATACATATTTCTGTGCTTACTAATGTGCCATTTGACAGATGTGTGGTAAAGATGTATGTGGGAGAGGGTATGCTGCTTTTCCTTATCTGTATTTGTTATGACACAATCACTGATACCTACATTTTCCTTTCTCCTTTCTAGTTCTTCATTAGGTTTCTTTTTATGGTTGCTAAATCTAGAGATTTTTCTTCTCTGAAGTGAAAAGTGCTTAATATGATATTTGCTTCCTTTGTTTTGTTGTGTGAAGAACAGAAATGAACATGAAAGGAAGTGTAGTACAAATTAATCAGTAATGTATTGTTTACTATTTACATTTTATCTTTATTTTTTCTCTAGAAACTTAGTTGAAATAACTTCATTTTACTGAAAAATTTATGTTAGAGCTATCAACTTTTTGTGTGGTACATTTTTTGGGGATAGGGTTGCATTTTAGGAGTTAATATAGAAAATTTACATCCGTAAGACGGTGTCAATAATGTGTTTATACATCGCACTGAAACAGTCTTTTCCCATTGGAACTAAAATTGAATGTGAGAAAGACCATTTTAAATAGCAAATGTTTAAATCATATTTTTAATTTTAAAAATGTAATATACATAGCATAAAATGTATCTTAACCATTCTTAAGCTTAGTAGTGCTGAGTACGTTCACATGGTTGTGCATCCAATCCCAAAAACTCTTTTCATCTTGCAAAATGGAAACTCTGTACCTGTTAACCAACAACTCTCATTTCTACTCCCTCCTCTCCATCCCAGGCAACCATCATTCTATTTGCTTTCTCTGTGAATTTGACTATTCTAGGAACATCATATAAGTGCAATTATAAAGTACTTTTGTGTGTGACCGGCTTATTTCATTTAGCATAATGTTTTCAAAGTTTATGTTGCAGCATGTGTCAGAATTTTCTTTCTTTGAAAAGCTGAATATTCTATTGTAAGTATGTACCATATTTTGTTTATTCATCTGTTGATGGACACTTGAGTTGCTTCCACTTTTTGGCTGTTCTAAATACTGCTTGCTGCTAGGAACATGAGTGACAAGTACCTTTTTGACACCTTGCTTTCAGTTCCTTTGGGTATATACCCAGCAGTAGAATTACTGGATCATACGGTAATTCTGTGTTTTATTCTTTCTGGAAACACCATACTGTTTTCCATAGTGACTGTATCATTTTACTTTCCCATCAGTATTGTATAAAGGTTCTAATTTCTTCCTATCCTCACCAACGCTCGCTATTTTCTTGTTTTTTATTATAGCTACTCTAATGAGTATGAGGATTTTCCCCTGTGTTTTCTTCTAAGAGTTTTTCTTGTCAAGATTGTTTTGGCTGTTGAAGGTCATTTGAGATTTCATATGAATTTTAAGATGTATTTTCTATTGTTTGCAAAGAATGTCATTGGGGTTTTGATTGGGATTAAATTGAATCTGGTCATTTTGCTTATTACAGATAACAATGTTAAGTATTCCAATCCATTAACATGGAGTGCTTTTTCTATTTATTGATGTCTTCTTTAATTTCTTTCAGTATTGTTTAGTAGTTTTCATTGTATGAGTCTTTCATCATCTTTGTTAATTCCTAAGTATTTTTTGATGCTATCATTTATGAAATTGTTTTCTTAATTGCTTTTTTTGAATTATTTATTGGTAGTATATAGAAACAACTGACTTAATTGTTGTGTGTTGATTTAATATCATACTTTGCTGAGTTCCTTTATCCTGATAGTTTTTTGTGTGGAACTTTCAGGGTTTTCTGCATATAAGATCATATCATTTATGAATAGAAATCATTTTGCTTCATTCATTCCAATTTGAATACCTTTTATTTCTTTTTTCTTGCCTAATTGCTCTGGCTAGACCATCCAGTACTGTGTTGAATCGAAGTGGAAAAAGCAGGCATCCTTGTCTTGTTCCTTGTCTTGATCCTGATCTTACAGGAAAAGCTTTCAGTCTTTCAACATTGAGTATAATGTCAACTATGAATTTTTATTATGTTGAGATTGTTCCCTTCTACTTTAGTGTTTTTATCATGAAAGGATGTTGAATTTTGTCAAATAACTTTTCTCCATGAATTAGGATGACCATGTGTTTTTTCCTTTCGTTCTACCAATCTGTCATATTATTACATTGACAGATTTTCATATGTTGAGCCATTCTTGCATTCCAGGAATAAATCCCTCTTGGAAATTGTGTATAATGCTTTTAACACAGTGCAGAATTTAGTTTGCCAGTATTTTGTTGAGGATTTTTGCATTAGTATTCATAAGGGGTATTGGTCTGTAGTTTCCTTTTCTTGTATGCCTTTGGCTTTGGTATCAGGGTAATGCTGGCTTGTAGAATGAGTTAGGATTTATTCCTTCCTCTTCATTTTCTTTTTAAAAAGATTTTGAGAATGGTCAATGTTGGTTCTTTTTTAAATGTTTGGTAGAATTCACCAGTGAAGCAATCAAGTCCAGGGTATTTCATCTTGAGGTTTTTTATTACTGATTCAGTTTCCCATTTCTTCAGGATTCAGTCTTGGTATGTTTTGTGTTTGTGGGAATTTGTCCACTTCAGCTAGGTTATACAGTTTGTTAGCATACATTGTTCATAGCACTCTCTCATAATCCTTTTTATTTCTGTAAGATTCGTAGTAATAGTCCCACTTCATTATGGTTTTAGTAACTTGAGTCTTTTTTTTTTTCTTAGTCAATCTAGGTAAACATTTGTTAATTTTGATAATTTAAATTGGTTTATCTTCAATCATGTTGATTCTTTCTTCTCAAATGTGCTTTTGAACTCCTCCAGTGAATTATTCATTTCAGTTATTATACTTTTAATCTCCAGAATTTCTTATTGGTTCCTTTCTGTTTTATATCTACCATTGGTAGATATAAACGGTAGTGGTATTGATGTTACCATTTTGTTCATGTATCATTTTTCACATCTGACTGGCATGAGATTGTATGTATCTCATTTGGTTTTAATTTGCATTGCTCTGATGATTAGTGATGCTGAGCATTTTTTTCATCTTTGTTGGCTTCTTATATGTCTTCATTTGAGAAGAGTCTATTCATATCCTTTGCTCACTTTTTAATGGGGTTGTTTTTTCTTGTTCATTTGTTTAAGTTCCTTATAGATTCTGGATATTAGTCTTTTGATGGATGCATAGTTTGCAAAAACTTTCTCTCATTCTGTAGGTTGTCTGTTTATTGTGTTGTTTCTTTTGCTACGCAGAAGCTCTTTAGTTTAAGTCCCATTTGTCATTTTTTGTCACAATTGTTTTTGATGTCTTAGTCATAAATTATTTGCTTAGGCCAGTGCCCAAAAGGGTTTTTTTCTAGGTTTTCTTCTAGGGTTTTTATAGTTTGAGGTCTTACATGTAAGTCTTTAATCTTGAGCTAATTTTTGTATATGGTAAGAGGTAGGGGTCCAGTTTTGTTCATCCATAAATGGCTAGCCAGTTTTCCTCGCACCATTTATTGAATAGGGTGTCCTTTCCCCATTGTTTATTTTTGTTGACGTTGCTGAAGATCAGTTAGTTGTAGCTGTGTGACTTTATTTCTGGATTCTCTATCCTGTTCCATTGATCTGTGTGTCTATTTTTATACTAGTACTATGATGTTTTGGTTACTGTAGCCTTGTAGTATGGTTTGAAGTCAGGTAATGTGATGCTTCTAGATTTGTTCTTTTTGCTTTGGATTGCTTTGGCTATTCAGGCTCTTTTTTTGATTCCATATGAATTTTAGATTTTTTTTTTCTGATTTTGGGGAAAATGGCATTGGTAATTTGATGGGAATTGCACTGAATCTGTAGATTGCTTTGGGCAATGTGGTTATTTTAATGTTATTGATTCTTCTAATCCATGAGCATGGAATGTTTTTCCATTCGTGTCATCTATGATTTCTTTCATCAGTGTTTTACAGTTCTCTTTGTAGAGATCTTTCACTTCCTTGGTTATATATACTAGGTATTGTATATGTGTGTGTGTGTGTGTGTGTGTGTGTGTCTATTGTAAATGAGATTGAGTTCTTGATTTGGTTCTCAGATTGAATGTTGTTGGTGTATAAAAATGCTGCAGATTTTATTTTTATTTATTTTTTAATTTTTATTTTTTAGTTTCTCAAATGAGTTGATGCTGTGGAGTTTTGTACATTGCTTTTGTATGTTGAAAAGTTACTGAAGTTGTTTATCAGGTCTATGAGTCTTTTGGAGGATTCTTTAGGGTTTTCTGGGTATGTAATCATGTTGTCAGCAAACAGAGATAATTAATTTGTCTTCATCTTTTCCTATTTGGGTACCTTATATTTCTTTCTCATGCTTGATTGCTCCAGCTAGGACTTCCAGTATTATGTTGAATAGGAGTGGTGAGAGTGGACATCCTTGTCTTGTTCCAGTTCTTAGGGAGAATGCTTTCAACTATTGCCCATTCAGTATTGTGTTGACTGTGGGTTTGTCATATATGGCTCTTAGTATTTTCAGGTATGTTCCTTTGATGCCTTGTTTGTTGAGGATTTTCGTTATGAAGGGATATTGAATTTTATCGAATGCCTTTTCTGTGTCTTTTGAGAAGATTATGTTATTTTTGCTTTTAACTCTGTTTATGTGGTAAATCACATTCATTGATTTGTGTTTGTTGAACCGTCCTTGCATCCAAGGGTTAAACCCACTTGATCATGGTGAACTATCTCTTTGATGTGCTGTTGGATTTAGTTTGATAGCATTTTGTTGAGGATTTTTGTGTCTATGTTTATCAGTAATGTTGACCTGTAGTTTTCTTTTTTTGTTATGTCATTGCTAGGTTTTGGAATCAGGATAATACTAGTTGCATAGAATGAGGTGAAGGAGAAATCTCCTCTCTTCAATTTTTTGGAATAGTTTCAGTAAGATTGGTACCAGTTCTTTGTACATCTGGTGGAATTTAGCTGTAAATCCATCTGGTCTAGGGCTTTTTTTGGTTGGTAGATTTTTTTTATTATTATTATTACTGATTGAATTTCGTAACTTGTTATTGGTCTGTTCAGAATTTCAATTTCTTTCTGGTTCAGTCTGGAAGGTGATGTGTTTCTAGGAATTAATCCATTTCCTCTAGGTCTTCTAATTTGTGCACATAGAGATGTTCTTAGTAGTCTCTGATGATCTTTTGTCTTTCTGTGGTGTCAGTTATGATGTCACTTTTGTCATTTCTGATAGTGCTTATTTGAATCTCTTTTCTTTTTTTCTTGGTTAATCTAGCCAGCAGTCTGTCAATCTTGTTTATCTTTTCAAATATCTAACTTTTTGTGTTGTTGATACTTTGTATGGTTTTTTTTTGGTCTCAATTTCATTTAGTTCTGCTCTGATCATAATTATTTCTTCTGTTAGCTTTGGGTTTAGTTTGTTCTTGCCTTTCTAGTTCTTAAAAGTGTGGTGTTAAGTTGTTAATTTGAGATCTTTGTGTGTTTTGGTGTAGTCATGGAGCACTGTAAATTTTCTTCTTAATACTGCTTTTTCTGTATCTCAGAGGTTTTGGTATGTTGTGTCTTTATTTTCATTTGATTCAATTAATTTTTTTTTATCTCTGCCTTAATTTCATTGTTTACCCAAAAGTCATTCAGGAGCAGGTTGTTTAGTTTCCATATACTTGTGTGATTCTTAGGGTTCCTCTTGGTATTTATTTTGATTTTATTCCACTGTGGTCTGAGAAGATGCTTGATATGATTTTGATTGTTTTGAATTTATTGAGACCTGCTTTATGATTGAGCATGTGGTCAATTTTAGAGACTGTTCGATGCACAGATGAGAAGAATGTATATTCTGTGGTAGTTAGGTGGAGTATCCTGTAGATGTCCATTAGGTCCATTAGGTTGAGAGTCTAATTTATGTCCAAACCTTTGTTAGTTTTGTGCCATGATCTGTCTAGTGCTGCTGGTGGGGTGTTGAAGTCCCCCACTGTTATTTTATGGCTATCTCTCTTTTTCGGTTCTAGTAGTAGTTTCTAAATCTGGGTCTTGTGATGTTGGGTACATATATATTTAGGATACGATATCTTCTTATTGAATTGAGCTCTTTATCATTATGTTGTACCCTTCTTTGTCTTTTTTTTTTTTTTTAACTGTTCTTGGTTTAAAGTTTGTTTTATCTGATACAAGAGTAGCAACCTCTGTTCTCTTTTGGTTTCCATTTGCATGAAAGATCTTTCTCCATCCCTTTATTTTGAGCCTATGGGTGTCATTACATGTGAGATAGGTCTCTTGAAGGTAGCAGAGGTTGGGTCTTGTTTTTTTAATCCAACTTGCCACTGTGTATCTTTTAAGTGGAGGATTTAGGCTGTTTCCTTTCAAGGTTAATATTGATATGTGAAGTTTTATTCCTTTGATAGTGTTGTTAGCTAGTTGCTTTGTGGTCTTTATTGTGCGATTGCTTTATAGGGTCTGAGTTTTGTACTTATGTGTGCTTTTATGGTAGCAGGTATCATTCTTTCATTTCCATGTTTAGAACTCCTTTGAGCATTTCCTGTAGGTCCAGTCTGATGGTGATAAATTCCCTTTGTGTTTGCTTGTCTGGGAAAGATTTCATTTCTTCTTTGTTTATGAAGCTTAGATGAACAGGATATAAAATTCTTGGCCAGCAATTTTTTTTTTAAGGAGGCTAAAAATAGGCCCCCAGTCTCTTCTGACTGTAAAGCTTCGGCTGAGAAGTCCACTGTTAGCCTGATGGGTTTTCCTCTATGGGTAATTTGGCCCTTTTCTCTAGCTGCCTTTATGATTTTTGCTTTCATGTTGACCTTAGTCTGATGACTGTTTGTCTCGGGGATGTCATCTTATATGGTATCTCTCAGGAGTCTCTGAATTTCTTGATTCTAGATTTCAGCTTCTCTAGCAAGATTGGAGAAATTTTCCTGGATTATTCCCTCAAATATGTTTTCCAAGTTCCTTACTTTTTCTTCTCTCAGGAATGCTAGTAAGTGAAAGGTTTGTTTGCTTTACATAATCCCATATTTCTTGAAGGCTTTGTTCATTTTTTAAAAATTCAGTTTTCTTTATTTTTGTCTGACTTGGTTAATTTGAATGACTGGTCTACAAGCTCTGTAATTCTTCTGCTTTGTCTAGCCTATTAACTATATTTTAAAATTCCTTTAGTAAATTTTAGAATTCAAGCAGTTCTATTTGTTTCTCTCGTAATATAGCTATCTTGTCTATCATGTGCTGAATCAGTTTTCTGGTTTCTTTGTATTGGATTTCAACTTTTTTCCTGGATCTTGTTGAGTTTAGTTGCAATACGTATTTTTTATTCTTTATTGGTCATCCTATACATTTCAGTTTGGTTAGGATCCATTGCTAGAGAGCTAATGTGATCCTTTGAGATGCCAGAACACCCTGGCTTTTTGTACTGCCAGAGTTCTTGCATTGATTCCTTCTCATTTGAGGAAGCTGTCTCTTTTTATTTTGAATTTGCCATCATTTGGATGTGACTTTTTTTTCCTTAAGGGTATGGCTGTGGTATATGTTGTGTATTATCATTTGCCTTTGTTTCTGGGTGCTTCCACAGAGCCAAATGCTATATGGGGTCCTTGGTTATGGATAGCTTCTGTGTAGTGACTTTCTCAGATGCTGCTTACTGTAGTGATGTATTGGCTCTAAGAACTGACACCTAACACCTTGTCTCCTGTGGAGCTGAGGGTGTGGAGATCCCAGGGGGCTCATCTTGTGGACTGCCTAGCACTAAGCCCTTTTTTAGCAGATTTTTATTTGGTGATGCAGTTCAGGCTGCAGTCCAGTAGATGGCATTTAAGAGTAAGAGCCGGCAGGTAGGCTGGCGTTGGGTGGAAGCACCTGCCCTGAGTGGGCAGGGGATGGTGGCGGGAAGAGATCCTGTGGGGTGTGCTGAGGTCTTGGGGGAGAAGGTGGGTGGGTACACCCACTCCTCATTCTGTGCTGGCAGGAACGTGATCCACTTCCTATCATGCCCCTGTCACAAGGCTCCCAACCTTCATTTCATAAAGATTTTGTCCTTTGGTTCCTGGCTGCGGGTTGCGGGTACACTCCTCTGAGGGCTGCCACCAAAATGGGCTCAGGGAGAGTCTCTTCCTCCAGATGGGAGCAGACAACTCTGCAACTTGTCTTCCCTTGCTGGGGTGTTGCTGCTCTGTGTAGGGAAGGGGAGTTGGGCCCTACCCTTCCTGAAAGCTTGAGCTGTGCAGGGCTCACTTTCAGTAGAGGTGGAGCCGCTACAAGATGCATGAAATACGCTGTGTGTCCGAGTGCATGTGCTGGCCCCTGGCAGAGAGAACACTGCTGCATCAGCAACAGTGTAGGGGGATGCAGGAGATGACCCCTTCCCCACATCCATTCCTGGGTAATGATACTTCCTCTTGTAGCAGTTGGCACTGTGCCTGCATTTCCTTTGTCCCAAGGTGTGCTTTTGATGGGCTGCACTCTCTTCCACTTAGGGATGGCCCACGCAGGGGGTTAGATCTCCAGAGATCTCACAGTTACCTGGGGAACTGCTGGTTCCCTGTGCTTGCCAAAGTTAGAGTGGTCTGTGAGGTGTGTTTGCAGGGAATCTGGTGGTGTGGTGACTCAAGGGCAGAGAATCCCTGGGCAGGGCAGCATCCCACTGCTGGCGCACGACAAGTATGGTATCTGGCACCTGAGAGGAGTGTGGACACGCATGTACACACGAGTTGGCCACCAGATTCTCCAGCCCCAGGAGGTTTTCAAGTCACCATCAATAGTATTGCTTTGGGTCACAAGGGCAGAGGAGCACTCTCCAACAGTTTGATGGTCAGGAGATTGTTGGAGGGGTAAGGGGAGCAGAGAACTACTCCCACCTACCCTTTCCACAGGGCTCCAAGGTCCTTGAGGGTCAATCTCTGCCAGAGTCTTGCTGCTTTCCTTTTCTGCACCCCAGCTTCTTCCCTTGGGCACTCTGACAGGTCCTGGCTCCCTTCCCTCAGTTTTCTGTCTAGAATTTGTCCACTCACCAGTAACTTTGATCTATTTTTTGAGAAAAACTGGCTTTTGATATTCCTAGTAAGCCATCTTGGGACAAAAACAAAAACAAAAACACGCACACACACCACAAAACAAAAAACAATTGCATCTGTTATTGAATGTCCTAGTCTTTAAGTGTCTGGCTCTCCAAGAGGGAAAGGGGAACAAAGAAAGGGGACAAAACCAGACGCTGGCCTTTTAAATCCTCTGAAAATTGCTAGCCATAGCAGGAGGGGTTTGCAACAGTAGCTGCCTCTGTGTCTGCATCTCCCTGATTAGAAGCAGCAATTGTGATCAGAGCACAGACTCCCTGATGTTTGGAGCACAGGGTCCTTATTGGCCCACCTTGACTTTCATAAGCCGTGTACAAGCTACTTCAGGAACAAGTGCATGGCTACCTGTCCAGGGGTTGGGGTGGTGGATGGGTAGCTGTCATTGTGCTAAAACCTGAAGTCGACTGAAATGAACCTCAGTTTACCCTCCAAACCTTCCCCTGGAAGCTGCAAGCCTTTAATAGATTCTAGAGTCCCAAAATAGTTACATCAGACAGATTCTGCCAATGTGATTGTGGTCTAGGTAGGGTGACAGATTCTAGATGCCTCTTACTCTGACATCTTCTCTCTATTTCCTAAATCATAATGTTTCAAAGAGTGTAGTACAACACAGTCTACAGTTACTTTCCTATATTCCTATAGCTCTAATGCTATATAATTAGTCCTTTCCTTTGTCTACCAAGTAAGGTAATTATTTACCTGTGTGTTCATCTTCCTAACTGTATTGTGAACACTTCCACTAGTCTTCCCATGGTATACATAGAATATATTCAATAACGATTTGAATGCAAGAATTACACATTATGAATGTGGCTTCTTCATTTCATCATCATTGACTTGTGATTTTTAAAGACGTTTGAGTTTGAACACAGAAAAATTGAAGGAGTTTACATCCAGTGTCTTTATCTCAGTAAAATGGAGTAAGTTCATCCATCTGTTGAAAGTGATTGGATGGGGATGAGTTTCAAGGCGGCATGAGATGTGTAATACCTGCTGTGTGTACTTCAGGGAACAATCTAATAGCAATAAATTTTTTTTAAGTGCTGATTGGCAGCTAAGGCCCATGCGAGGTTGGATAGCATACATTGTAATGGATTTAGTGCCTTTCTCCAAACTGCTTCATGTCGTAAAAGTAGAGCAGAGAATATGAATGGTTGCGATAGTCTAGGTTTAGAGAATGCTGAAAACAGTAGGAAAATCATGAATGAACTAGGTGCTGAACTAGGAAAGTAGAAATGAGGGAGGGTGATGTATAATGGCAAGGTGGATGTGAAAAGCATACATAATAACGGGGAGAAAAGGAAATGGTGAGATGTTAGGAAAAGTGATCTGGAGTCTAAATTTGGCAAGTGAGGATTAATTTTCTCTTTCCCACTGAGTTAAGAAAATGATAGAAAATTTTACCACGAAGTCCTGAATTTTCAATTTATAATTAGTCTATTTCCTCACTCAACAGACATTTAATGTGTCTCTTGTTTGTTAGGTTCTGTGCTAACTACCAGGATAACAAAGATGCAAAAGTAAAATTTATATCTCAGCAGTTCTGGTGCCTAACAGTGCTTAGCATTTAGTAAATACTTGTTGATTTTAATTGATGCTTACATAATCTGATACATCCAAGAAAATTTTCTAGCTTTCTGTTAGTCAACAATGACAGCAGGACTGTATTATTTGTGTGACCTTCCACCTTAATTTTCATCACATGTGGACTCTAGTATCACCTGGATTATTCAGATTGATTTTCTTACTTAAATTCAGTAGAAAAATTGTGAATCTGACTATGAGGGGAGGCAGTATGAACTCATTAAATATGTATTCCTGTTTGGAGAAATATTCGCTGGATAGCTAGAATTTTAGATTGGGAAATCAGGTTTTACATCAGCAATCAAATGAATAGTAGTTTAGAAGTTTTATTTTTTAACTTCTCATTTTGAAATAATTTCAGATTTACAAAAAAATTGCAAAAATAGAACAAGCAATTTCAGCTTTCCCAGTGTTAGCATTTCATATAACCACAGTACAATGATCAAACCAGAAAATTAACATTAGTAAATACCTTAATCCATAGGCCTTATTCAGATTCCATCAATTATTCCACCAGTGTCCTTTTTTCTGTACTAGGATCCAATCCAGGATCACACATCATATTTAGTCACAATGTCTCCCTTACCTTCTTTAACATTGAACAATTCTTTAGTCTTTGTCTTTCATGACCTCAGTACTTTCGAAGAGTACTGGCCAAGGCTGGGCATCGTGGCTCATGTCTGTAATTTCAGCACTTTGGGAGGCTGAGGTGGGTGGATCACTTGAGTCCAAGAGGTTGAGGCTGCAGTGAGCTGTGATCACACCACTCCAGCCCGCGTGACAGAGTGAGACCCTGTCTCAAAAAAAAAAAAAAAAAGTACTGGCCAATTATGTTTCAAAATGTCTATGAATTTGGATTTTTCTATTTCCTTGTAATTAACTGTAAGTTAGTACTTTTTTGGTAAGAATACCAGAAGAGTAATGTTATATCCTTCCCAGTGCATCACATCAGGAGGCACATAATGTTGATGTGTCTCATTACTGTTGACATTAATTTTGATCACTTTATTAAGGATGTGTCTGCCAGGTTTGTCCTCAGTTAACACTGTTTTCTCACTTTTAGTTAATGATTATCCAATGGGCAGATACTTTGAGGCTGTGTAAATATCCTGTTTCTTTTTGTGCTTTTACCCACTAGTTGTATCATCCATTAAAATTCTTTTTAAAACAATTATTACTATTGTGTTTACCAATTGGAGATTTTTTTTCTCATCATTTCTTTTAAAATTACTAATTGGGGCCAGGCACAGTGGCTCATGCCTGTAATCCCAGCACTTTGGGAGGCCGAGGTGGGTGGATCAGGAGTTCGAGACCAGCCTGGCCAATGTGGTGAAACCCCATCTCTACTAAAAATACAAAAATTAGCAGGGCGTGGTGGCACACACCTGTAATCCCAGCTACTCGGGAGGCTGAGACAGGAGACTTGCTTGAACTTGGGAGGTGGAGGTTGCAGTGAGTCGAGATCGCACCACTGCACTCCAGCCTGGGTGACAGAGTGAAACTCCATCTCAAAAAAAAAAAATTACTAATTGGATTTCTATTATAAGGAAGAGTTTTTCTCTTCTCTCTCATTGATTTATTTATTCAATTATTTACATCACCATGGACTCAGGGATATTGTATTCTTTGAGTTATAATCTGTTACTACCATTATGTATTTTGTTGCTCAAATTGTCACAGATTTGGCCACTGGAAGCTCTGTCAAGTTGACGTCTGTGTCCTTGCAACATGTCCCCATTATTTTTTGAGTGTTTCCTTTCTAGCACCACAGGATATTCCACATTCATCTTTAGATAGTATTTCCTTTTAATGTGTGGTTTGCATTTCAAATTATTTTTTGCTTTTTTTTAGGTATGAGGATACATGGGCTGCACTTCACAGAAGAGCCAAAGACTGTGCAAGTGCTGGAGAGGTAAAGAATTGACTAATCTTATACTCGTGGCAAACTTTCCTTTTTCAGTGCTAAATGGTATTTTTTAAAAATTGAATTTATAATTGTTTGTGTCAAAATGTTTTGCAGGATATCTGAAATTGAATCTAGTCGTTGATTATGAAACTCCCTGAATAAAGCACCTTTTTATCATTTCTCTGTCAAGTAATTTAGTTTAGTTGAGCAAGAGAGTTTATAACTTTTATTCTAAGGACAGGTAAATACTTGTTTTATGTAGATATAATGCTCTGAATTTTAGTCTGATGAATTTGCAATATATGTAAATTATAAGACATCTCTTTATACCCTATATAAGACATCTCTTTCTACACTATTTAAGAATTCCTTATTATTTGGTCAAAAAAACTTAACTTTGCTCAGTCTATCCAAAATTATTAATTTGCCTAACAAATAAATACAAAAATTTCAGGGGTCATCCTCAGTTCACTTAGAAGAACAAAGTATTTTTAAGCACTAGTGTCTTGTAATTTAAATGACTTGGTAAATGTACATAGCCAAAATCGAATACTCTCCTCAATGTTGTTGATGTCAATCAAACCTTATTTTTTTCTGAAATGATTTCTGTAATTCTGACTTTAAATAAATTTAGACTGATTTTCTTTACCATTTACCTAAATTAATGAAGCTGTAATAGTTATATACAACACAGGAATATATATGATGAAATGTAGACACTAGCATTTCTCTTAGAACTTACTGATAAGAAGAAAATGTAGGTTTCTGGTAGTAAGGCAGAATAGATACTTTGAAAAGCCCTACAGCTATAAAACACTTAAATGTTGGATATATTTTTTAAAAGTTCTTTAAGATACATTAAGCCCACAAAAATTAAGGGAAACATAAAGGGCCAACAACAACAACAACACAACAAAACAGAACAGGGAACTGAAATCAGAGTCATTAAAACAAAACAAAACAAAACATGGAAGTCGGGATCAAAATACTAAAACAAAAGCTTTGGAGATTTGTGGGAATAGGAGACTTTGTCTGTGGGGATCTGAATCTGAGACTTTTGATAAAGCTCTTTGGACTTTGAGGTGGCTACATCCCCCTGGTGAAAGCTTAAGCTAGGGGGAAAAAAAATGTACCTGTTGGCTAAAGGAGTCAACAAGGAAACCTGTCTGGCTTCCTAAGAAGTTGGCATAGCCTCGTTTCTTGATTTGTTACCATGGTATTGGCCTCATAGGAGTATGGGGTTCTAAGTTATATTTCCTGCCTGATCAAAGAACCTCTAAGTTAAGAAATGAAAGAGTTGGCTGGGCACGGTGGCTCACACCTGTAATCCCAGCACTTTGGGAGGCCAAGGTGGGTGGATTACCTGAGGTCGGGAGTTTGAGACTAGCCTGGCCAACATGGTGAAACCCCATCTCTAATAAAAATACAAAAATTAGCTGGGCGTGGTGGCTCATGCCTGTAATCCCAACTACTCGGGAGGCTGAGGCAGAAGAATCGCTTCAACCTGGGAGGCGGAGGTTACGGTGAGCCAAGATTGCACCATTGCACTCCAGCCTGGGTGACAGAAACTCTGTCTCAAAAAAAAAAAAAAAGGTGCAGGTAATTTGTGTTCTTTGACACCCAACAAAAACAAATGCAAATTCTCCATGGATGAAACTGTCTAAACCTAGGTCCCTCAGATTTCCACAGATTAAATCAGGCTCCCTGTCCTCAAAATGTTAGCAATCACACAAGTAAACCACCAAAAGTTTGAGTCACCAGAACCAAAGTGTGAGATTTAGACCCATAAAGGACTGTAGATACTGCACTATTGAATATTGACTGTTAAATAGTTATATATAAAATCTTTCAAGAGATAAAAGATGGACTTAAACGTGAGTAAGGAAGAAGGCACTATCAAATATTTTAAAGTCATTGAAATTACAAACCCAAAAGATGTGCTTAACAGCAATTTGAGGCAGCTGAAGAAATAGTGAGGTACAAGAGAGAGTCAAAGAGTACACAGAAAGGATCTCAGAAAGAAAATGGAAAATATGAAAGAAGAATTGATAGGCAGAGAATACTTATAAAAGGTCTTTAGGTTGAACCAGGTGAGATTGCCAATATTCGATGAATTTTTATCTGTAAAATTGCAGTTTCATATGAGTTAGCCCAACATATCCAGTAAACCTAAATAGTTCTAGAAAGAGCATGAGGGAAAGACAGTGTAGGAAAAACATGTCTGAGAATTTTCCATAAATGAGATATGTAAATCCTCAGATCCAGAAAGTACAACAAGCAAGCAAGATAATAATCCATTCCTAGACACCTCATACTGGAGCTACAGAACCCAGTTAGGCTCGGTGGCTCACACCTGTAATCCCAGCATTTGGGGAGGCTGAGGCGGGTGGATCACCTGAGGTCAGGAGTTTGAGACCAGCCTGGCCAACATGGTGAAACCCCATCTCTATTAAAAATACAAAAATTAGCTGGGCATGGTGGTGTGTGCCTGTAGTCCAAGCTATTCGGGAGGCTGAGGCAGGAGAATCGCTTGAACCTGGGAGGCAGAGGTTGCAATGAGCCGAGATCATGCCACTGCACTCCAGCCTGGGCAACAGCAAGACTGTCTAAAGCAACAACAACAAAAACTACAGAATCCTAAAGGAGAGGAGAAGATCTTAACTAGAGAGAAGATAGATCACTTATAAATGAATGAGTTCCACAGCAGACTTTTCAAACTGTTGTCAAGAATTAGAGTAAAAGCAAGACATACTCAGATAAAAACATTTTTCTATCAGCAATCGTCCAATAAAAGAACTTCTAAAGAATGTAATTCAGGAAAAAAGGAAACTCATTTTAGAAGATGGGTCTGAGATGTAGGAAGGAATAGTGAGCAGAGAAAATGGTAAACATAGATAAATCTAAACAGTGGGACATATATATTAGTTATCTAATTTGTGGGGTTAAAATGATAGAAGAATAATGCTAGATAACAAAGCATGTAAGATGGAAGGCAGATTATCAGCGTTCAAGCATTCTAACACTTCCGTATTATTTGGGGGAAATGTATTGATATTGATTAACCTCACTTTTAAAAGTTAATTATGGAGGGCAGAATTTCAAGGGTAACCACATACAAAAAAAATAGAAAGTGGTTGGGTGTGGTGGCTCACACCTGTAATCCCAGCACTTTGGGAGGCCAAGGCAGGCAGATCACTTGAAGTCAGGAGTTCGAGACCAGCCTGAGCAACGTGGTGAAATCCTGTCTCTACTGAAAATACAAAAAATTAGCCTGGTGTGGTGGCAGGCACCTGTAATTCCAGCTACTTGGGAGGCTGAGACAGGAGAATCACTTGAACCTGGGAGGCAGAGGTTGTAATGAGCTGAGATTGAGCCACCGCACTCTAGGCTGGGTAACAGAGCAAGACTCTGTTTATCTTCTAAACTAGTAGAAAAAAACTAGAACAATGAGAAAGAATTCAGTCAATGCAAAAGATGACAAGAAACCAGAGGAAAATGCATAACAGTAGAATAAACAGAATAAGATGGTAAATGTGAATATATCTGCAGCCTCAATATTTTTAAATGATTAATCTAGATTAATCTAAAGGGCATATTTTGAAAGACGAGGAAAAGTCTATTAATAGTTTATAAGTTACTGACAAGAGAAACACCTAGAACATAGGACACAGAAAGATTGAATGTATGGGCATACCTCAGAAATATTGTCAATTTGGTTCCAGACCACTGCAATAAAGCCAATATTGCCAGAAAGCAAGTCACACAAATTTTTTAGTTTCTTAGTGCATATAAAAGTTATGTTTATACTATACCATTGTCTATTAAGTATGTCTAAAAAAGCAATGTAATACCTTAAATAAAAAATACTGTATTGCTTAAAAAATGCTGACAATTGCCTGAGCCTTCAGTGAATCATAACCTTTTTTCTGGTTGAGAGTTTTGTTTGTTTTTTTTTAATGTTTATAGCTGCCGACTGATCAGGGTGGTGGTTACTGAAGGTTGGGGTGGTTGTGGCAATTTCTTGAATAAGACAGCGATGAAGTTTGCTGCATCTATTGACTCTTCCTTTCACAAAAGATTCCTCTGTAGCATGCAATGCTGTTTGATAGCATTTTACCCATAGTAGAACTTCTTTCAAAATTGGAGTCAATCAACTCCTCATCCATTCATGCTTGATCATGAGATTGTGGCAATTCAGTCACATCTTCAAGCTCCACTTCTAATTCGAGTTCTCTTGCTATTTTTACCGCATTTGGAGTTACTTCTGAAGCCTTGAACCCCTCAAAGCCATCCATGAGGGTTGGAATCAATTTCTTCCAAACTCCTGTTAATGTTGGTATTTTGATTTCCTCCCATGAGTCATGAATGTTGTGTGATGGCATCTAGAATAGTGTATTCTTTCCAGGAGATTTTCAATTTAGTTTGCTCAGATCAATTGAAGGAACTTCTATCTATGGCAGCTATAACCTTATAAAATGTGTTTCTTAAACAATAACACTTAAAAGTTGATATGACTCCTTAATTCACAGGCTACAGAATGGATGTTGCATTAGTGGGCATGAAAACAATGTTAATTAACAGTTGCTTGTGTGCAGTAACTTGGCGTCTCCATGCTGGACACATATAAGCCATGCATATTAGCTGTCGATACTCTGTTCATACAGCCTCAGTGTGTAGACAATTTAAATTTCTAACAATTATGATGTTCTAACAATTGTATTTGAAATGCAATTCGAGAATCTACTCACACGTTGTTTTAAAATGTGTATCAAGCTTAAATATAAAGTTTTCCTATATATATAAAACTTGCTATTGATATTTGCAAGGCTTATGAATATTGGATAATAAAAGGCATTCTACCTGGGAGACATTCTTCAATGTATGCCTATGGTGGCAAACCAAATCCAGCAATGTATAAAAAACAAAATACACTTAGTTTATTCCAGAATTAAAAGGTTAACTTGACATTAGAAAATCTTTTACATGCAATTGACTCTTAAGTATTAAAAGTGAAAATGATCGTCAGATGCAGAAAATACATTTCATAAAATTAAATACCTATTCAGGGTAAAAAGTTTTAGCAAATTTTTAATGGAAGACAGCTTCTTTGTCCTGATATCTACCAAAAACCTGCAGTGTTTGACTTGCAGTATTTTAATCCCATATTCGGCCATCTTGCTAAATTCTCTTATTCTATTACTTTGTATTTGGGGGTGCGAGTTGTTTTGGGTAGATGGTAAGTTTGTTTCTTTCCTTCTAAGCCATACAACTTTTAATTTTTCATGTTTCTTATACTGGGTAGAAACTCTAGTATAATGTTGAATAAAAATAGTTGAAGACCTTGTTCACATTTTGGCTTCATTAGATTTAAATGTGAAAAGGAAAACTATACATTTTTTGGAAAATGGTAGAAGAGAATATGTTTAAGACCTTAGGGTGGGAAAGATTTCTTAAGTAAGATATAAAAAGCACCAGCCATAAATAAGTACATTGATAATTTTTGTCAAAACTTTTTTTAATCAAACAACACCGTGAAAAATTAAGTGATTTATAAGACAGAGGCTAAGTGTTCAGAAAATATGAATAACCCCTATAAACCAATAAAAAGAGGATGAAAATAACCTAGGAGAAAAGTGAGTAAAAGATATCAGCAGGCATATTGCAGAAGAGAAAACAGGAATGGCCAGTACACAGTAAAATATGTTCAACCTTGCTTGGTATCAAGGAAATGCAAATTGAAACCCCAAATTTTCACTCATTAGATTACCAAAAATTTAAGAAGCTTGAGCTTTCTGTGCAGATGGTCATTATTTGCAGATGACAGTTTTGTTTCTTTCCTCGGAAGAAATGTGATGATAAACAACTAGAACTTGGGAGTATAAATTAGAACAATCACGTTAGAAAAAATGAGTTGGCATTAAGTAGAAGTTAAAGTTGCACATGCCTTTCAAGCAACAATTCTGCTTCTAGGAATTTTTCCAGAGCATTACATCCAACCTGCAGGGGCTGGGGAGGGGGATCTCATTACCCTAGGCCCTGGGCAATGAGGAGATGGATATCTTGGACACATCTGCAATTCATTTGTGAAACCCTTGCACATGTGCACCTTGAGATTTGTACCAGAATGTTTGTAGCAAGCTTGGTTTAATCTTTGGACAGTTCCGAAGTCCATCTGCAGGGAAAAGTGTGGTATTATTCATAAAATAAATACCGTATACAGCAGTGAAAATTAGTGAACTACTACACCTATATGTATCAATATGTATGAATCCCATGTTAAATGAAGACTGTGTCCTATAGAGGAGCTTTAACAACAATCATTCTTTTGATTATTAGAAGCATTAACAATATATACAGGAGAAAGAATTTCCTGTCAGATGTGTTATTGAATTTGTGCTACCTCAGGATCTTAAATTTTTGTATAATTGGTTATTGTAAAACCCACAGCTCATCAAAAGTACTTATGTTGCTTTGCAGAAACAGTACCCAGCCTTAAAAATGAAAGTTTATTTTAAAGCCTTCTGTGGTGTATTATTGAGATATATGTAAATATTTAAATGTATATCTTTAGTATGCATAGTATTAAACTTGTCATTTTGTAAATTTATTTTGTCAGACCGCTCATGTGTCTTTGGTGGGCTTTACCAGCATAACCTCCTGGGGCAAATATACTTTTGGACAATTCCATCTTGTTTAACAAATTATTTTATACTCATCTACTTTAAAGCTAATTATTATAACTATATAGTCTTAGAATTCAGAGCAATAGTTTATAAAACAAGCAACTGTGATCAAAGGTAACTTTGTTGTTTAGGCTTGTTTTCTTTTTTTTTGAGACGGAGTCTCGATCTGTCTCCAGGCTGGAGTGCAGTGGTGCGATCTTGGCTCTCTGCAACCTCTGCCTCCCAGGTTCAAGCGATTCTCCTGCCTCAGCCTCCCGAGTAGCTGGGACTACAGGCACATATGCCACCATGCCCAGCTAATTTTTGTATTTTTAGTAGAGATGGAGTTTCACCATGTTGGCCAGGATGGTCTCGATCTCTCAACCTCATGATCCGCCAGCCTCAGCCTCCCAAAGTGCTGGGATTACAGGCGTGAGCCACCGCACCCAGCCTGTCTAGGCTTTTTCTAAATAAGGGTTTCGATTTTTTTTCTCCTTTAGCAGTGTATTAAAAAAATACCATAAATAGTTAATACTTAGGGCTTAAACTCTGAGGGCAGTTTTCTAAAGTTAGACTTTCAGTGTTTTGCCTCTCCTGTTATTGTGAAATATTAGCTTGCCTTCAAATTGAACTTTCAAGATTCATGGTTTTGTTTAACAGTTTGACATTAAGCCAGTTGAATTTGACTGTTTCACTGTCAGAAAGTGAACTGAACGTAGTGTTGGAAATCCTGGTTTCTGCTCCTTGCTGCACAAATACCTGTTGACCTTGGGCAGATAACATGGCCTCTCTTAGTTTTCTCATCTATAAAATGGCTTAACACTACTTATTCTGCTTATCAAACTTGTGTGGAAATCAAATAAAATGAAGTGTTCCTTAAAACTCTGAACTGCTGAGTTTTATACTAAGATCCTATTCTACATCATTGGTGTACCTTTTCATCATTGGTGTGCTTTTTCTTCCTTCTCCTAACCTCAATATCCAGAAAGAATTTTGGAATAAAGCACTATGGGTTTGTCTTGCTCCTTAAACTTAATTTCCTGGGGGTGAATCTTGGTTTATTCTGAGTTACTTCGAGGTGGAAAAATTGAACTTCCGGAGATAGCTTTTTTTAATCATTAAGAAATTACACATGATAAAATGAATAGGTAACAGTACAGTTTTTCAGAACCGTTTCTTTTGCTAGATTTTTACTTTTCTTCTTCCCTTTATATACCCCTATAGCACAATCCCTAGTAGGTTGATTAAGGGCATAGGCTTACTGTCAAATTCCCTGGGATGGAATCTAAGTCCACTGTGGTCCTTAAGGAAGTAACTTAACTTCATTACACCTCAATTTTTAAAATCTGTATAATGGAGGTTATAATATTGCTTAGTGTATAGAGTTGCTGTGTGGTTTAAATGAGATAATATATGTAAATTACTTAGCACAGGGTCTGGTATTTAGAAAATGTTCAAAATGTTTTAGTATTGTATAATTGTTGATAATTATTGATAATTTCTGAGAATCTGTTTACCCTTCCATTCTTTTAAATGATAGTTTAGTGTTTTCTGATATAGTTTTTCTACATATGCTTATATTCTATATTCAGAATTTAATTTTCAGTTTTATTGCAGGTATGAACTAAACTGTAGTTAAATTTCAATATTTAAACATTGCACTTTAATTTTCAGTAAGAAATGGTTAATATGTAATTTTTAATATCTAAAATTATTTATTCTAGAGTTTTCAAATTAGAAACCAAAATAGCCCATAATATAGGAATTTTTTTTTTTAGAGTTTAAAATCTGAAGTTAAGAGAATTTATGAGGGCTGCCACTGAAGTATAAACAATAAGAGGGCAGGAATCATTACATCTTCAGTATCCAAAATAGGGCTTAGCAAATAGTGGGTGGTCAGTGGAAGTTTGTGGAATATTATAAATGAATTTTGTGAACATAGATCCTTGTTTCAAGCTTTGGTTTCCTTACTGCATTTTAGCTGTTTTTTCAGTATGTTTTAAGCTACTTTTAAAGATTTTTTTTAAAGACCAGTTGGCAACAGACATTTTTAAATACACAAAAATAATGAGAAATGCGGTTTGCGTGAAACTTGATGTGGCCTCCCAGCTCAGTTGAGGCTTGAATGTGAGAGATTATGTGTTTATCCCTCCAGCGTGGGCTGAGAAACCACAGGGAGATGTGTCATAGCTTAGTTCTTTATTTCAAATGAGAATTCCTACTATAGTGAAATGTACGAACAAAAACAATCTAGTACTACATACAAATAATTTTGTATCTTTGATATATTCATTCCTCCAAAGTTCTTTCTTAATTTATTAAGTGGAACTTAGTAAGAATCAGTTGTATTCAGATTCTAACTCTTAAAGAGCCTTAATCCTGGCCGGGCACAGTGGCTCATGCCTGTAATCCTAACACTTTGGGAGGCCAAGATGGGTGGATTGCTTGAGGCCAGGAGTTCAAAACCAGCCTGGCCAACTTGGTGAAACCCTGTCTCTACTAAAAATACAAAAAATTAGCCGGGTGTGGTGGTAGGTGCCTGTAGTCCCAACTACTGGGGAGTCTGAGGCAGGAGAATCGCATGAACCTGGGAGGCGGAGGTTGCAGTGAGCCAAGATAGCACCACTGCACTCCAGCCTGGGCAACAAGAGCGAAACTTCGTCTCAAAAAAAAAAAAAAAAAAAAAAAAGAACCTTAATCTTGAGATGTACAAATTGTCTGTTTTGAATACTCAAATTCATTTTCTTCTGTCATATAATGGGTTTTGTTACCTTTATTTTTTATCGTACAGATTATGGAGTTTTTTCCACAGTTCTTGCTTATTCATGTTGATATTTTCAAAAGATCACCTCTTCTTGCTCCTTCTAAGTCTTTCTAGGCCCTTGTCCCTCCCACTATGTTAAGACCAAAACAGAATTGTCTGGGAGAAACTAATGTCTGTCATTTTCTTTATAGTCTTTAGCAAAAGAAGTTAGAATTATCTTAGGCTATTCTAGAATTTCACAACCTTGCTATTAGGAACCCTTTACATCTGCTGAATTCCTCATTAACTTAAATCATTTCCTCTTTTTCTGGAATTCTGGAATTGGCCAGTTTCCTCAAAATTCCTTTATATACTTTATGCAATAAGTATTCCTGTTTAAATGTAAATTGAAACATGGTATATTCTAAATGTATTAGGGAACTTTTCTTTGAAGACTTCCTTTCGTAAAGCCAATAATTACCCGTTAATTATGTTTTATGTTTGTTTTCTTTTTGGTTGTTAGTGGTAGTTTTTTGTTTTTGTTTTTTTTTTTTCTAGATTTAGCTTTTCAAATACATGGTCTGCTTAAAACAGGGTATACTTAGAAGTGACTTCTGAAGTCATTTTTAAACTTTCTCTTCTGTGGGTTAAGATGCACTGATACAAGCAGTAATTGGAGGTTTCCTGCACTGAATATTAAGTTGTTTCTTTTCTAAAAATGAAAACAACTTCAGTCTCTTTTAGAATGTACCGTAATCTCTACTGAGTAGAGGGGTTGTTAAAGATAACATTAAATCTCATTACGTTAACTGTACTTTCTTTGTGCCTAAAACCTGGTTTCACTTTACCCCCCTTCTTGTGTGCTGCAGCTGGTGGATAGCGAGGTGGTCATGCTTTCTGCGCACTGGGAGAAGAAAAAGACAAGCCTCGTGGAGCTGCAAGAGCAGCTCCAGCAGCTCCCAGCTTTAATCGCAGACTTAGAATCCATGACAGCAAATCTGAGTAAGTCCAATGTTTTCATTGTACATTACTTTTAGGAATGAAAACAACTTGGGCAGGGTTTGGTGTAATTTCAGAGCTTTTCAGGAACACATGAAATTCTGGGTTAACAGGATTTTTTGGAAAATCATGATTTCATATTTTGATTAGTTGAGGATTCCACAGAAAATGATGTAAAGTGTAGAAATTAGTTCTGTTTCTGCCTCAGGTCAGCTCCGGACACATAATTATAATTATGTTGATTCTTAAAGTGACTCAGGTTGTCTTTGTTGACATTTGGTCTCTGTTTAAAAGCATACATATAGAAAATGGATTAGGTGACTTTGTCCTTACTGTAGAATGTATTCCAGAAATTGTTGCTTTTAAAATTTAGATATGCTAGAACTTCATGTCTTGTAGTGTATTTTTTTCTCTTCAAACGGATTGGAGATCAAACAAACCTGGTTAAATGAGGGTACTTGTGCTGGGTGTGGTGGCACGTGCCTGCAGTTGCAGCTATTCTGGAGACTGAGGCAGGAGGAGTGCTTGAGCCCAGGAGTTTGAATCCAGCCTGGGCAACATAGTGAGACCTTGTCTCAAACAACAACAACAACAAAGTAAATTAGGGTACCTGTTTGGCTAAATTTATACTCTGTGGAAATTTATTTTTTTGTCGTTGTTCATTTGGATGGATTATGTTGGTATTCTTTTTTTCTTGGGTTTATATTCAGAAAATTATCTTTTATGTTTGATGATGCCACATCTAAGGATAATATTGCAGCTTACTATTTCCTAATCAAGCTTAAGATCTTAGTAAAGTAGGAGGTAGGAGCTGTCTGTATGAGCTAATAACCTGTTTTAGTCTTTTAGGTGGGAAGCTAAAGATACCCTATTATCTCCTCCTGTTTTTAATATTGCCTTATTCAAAGCAAAACATGACTGATTTACAAGGCAAGTAATTGGCAAGTCATAAGACAGTTTTTTGTGTGTGAACAAAATAGATACGTAGTATTTGGAGTGCTGTTGCTGATAACAGTAGCTAATGTTTATAGCACCTACTGTATGTCAGAGATGATTAGATGATTTACAGATACTATCTGTAATTCTCACAAGAACCCCACAAAAGTAGCTTTTATTATTCCCAATTTACAGATAAACTAAGGCTTGGAGAGGTTGCAACTTGCTCAGAATCATAAAATTTATAAATGCATCTAGGATTCCAACCACATTGATGATATCCTCAATATCAGTATGAGGCAGTAGGATGAGGTGATGAGGCAGTGGGATGGGAGCTCTCAGTAGGTCTCTATGAACTGTATTCTTCAAGTCCCCTGGCTGTTGCCATGCCTTTCAGGGTCAGTGTTTTGTTATTTCTGAAGGCAGGGCATGGAAAAGAGATTCTGGGTCTTAGAAAAGTGTAAAATGGCTGTGATTGCCGTCTGCATTGGTTTCCTCTTACAGGTATAGTAATGGTCCTTCCCAAGCCTTGGACATAGCCTTTAAGATGTTCGGAACATTCTTCTTAGCCACTTTCTTTCAGCTCATCTTCCTGTATCTCTTTGAGTCACTTGCTTTTCATTGGTTGTATGTTTCTTTGCAGACATGTTCTCTTATGATAACCTCTTTTATTTCCCCAGCTGAGAGTAAATCTGTTTACGGATAGTTGTTGTTTGCTTAATACCACTCTATTGATTAAATGCATTCTGCCACAGTTCTCATTATTTTCATAGTCAATTCTGTTTAGAAAATGCAGTCTCTATAAGTCTTTCATAGAATATATTGTATGTTCGTTCCCAATTAGGATTCTAATATCCTGAAAAATGTTTGATGTTTAGTGACACATGACCTTATTCTTCAGAAACTGCATTTTGGCTTCTTAAATGCACAAGGTAGGCCTTCCAAATGTTCACTTGAATCCTCTCTTTTTTAGTAATCTGAGAACATCTAACACTAAAGACAAATGAAAGCTAAAACATTATCTGATATACTGTTCTGGTTAATCACTGCTAAATTAATTTGAGTCATTTTTTTCCTCTCATCTATGTCTAACCGATATTGAGCTCTTTTTAGAGAGTTAGTTCAGTTTTTTTTAGAAGGTATGTCTGGATGGTTGCTTTTCATATATATTGCCAATCTGAATTATCTGTTAGCCTTTGAAATACATGCTTCCTTTGGGTTTTAATCTATTGCTGTTATTTGCCTGATATTTATAATTAGTAATGAATGACTGTGGAAGATAGCATATCAAAACTTGGAATTTTAGAGACCTAGTTAGTATTTGTTGGCCTAGAATAAGCCCAGAGAGAGTTGTTTTAAAATCATGAGGCTTTTAGCTAAGCAATTTAAGCTTTATAGAATCATTGCTGACGATATTCTTTACAGTAGGAAAACAAACACTTTGAAGCCAAATTTGATGGAGTGAGTTGTGTAAACATGTATCTGTACCATTAATGTACTTTATGAATTCATTTTGATGCATTTATGTATCAGTCTTAGATTTTGGAAACATTTAGTGTTTTAAATGCTTACTCATTTACTGGGTTTTTTTTTTTGGAAGCCTCAAAATCTCTCCTATTATTACCCAAATACCTTGACATAATATTACAAAGCTTAAATAGTTAAGCAATAATAAAAAATAAAAACAAACTTAGAAGAAAATGGTAACCGATTATATTTAGTCACAGGGTCCCCCTAACTTCTTTGAACTTGTTGCCCTTTCACTGTCAAATGTAACACCATATCCTGTCAGTCCCTCCATTTTCCAGGCTGCTTCACTCTTTTGGTCTTACTTTGCTCTCTAGAGGCCCTGCTTTTATTGAAGGGCAAAGGATTTATGTTATGTGAGCAATTTGGACTTTTGATGATGCTTTTAGCTGTGTTATCCCATGGCTTCATTAATATGGCTCCTGGTACCTAGCCCCTTGGGAATTGTTAAGTTACAACAGATGATCCATTCATATTGGCTTCAGTCCAGCTTACAGGAGCCTATTTAATTGATACTTACTGGTAAGGTTTGTCGTTTTAAAAATAAGTAATAAGGGTATGCTGGGAACTGGAAAACAAGGGCTATGAACTGACAGATCGGGTTTGGCTCCCAATCCAACTTCCTCACTTTAAAAACTGTGCAGATTTCTCAATGGCTCCAAGCTTTAGTTTTCTTGTCTGCAAAATGACGATGAGCATACCTGTCTTGTAGGTATTTGGAGGATTAAAGGAGATGACAAACGTAACCACTTAGCACAGTGCCTGGTACATGCTGGGCATCTGCCACGCACCACGCACTGCGTACAGACTCTGGACACACAGCAGTGAACAAGGCTGGGCACCTGCCATCAAGATGCTGACGTTCTAATGGGGGCCTCTCTAGCCTTTGCGAATTCACAAAACCATTATTCTGTGACACGAGGGTTTGGATGGATGTTAGGCAGTTTAGCTTGTGCTGCAAAACAGTTTAGAATGCAAAACCACAAGATTCAATGTGGTGATATTAGTATTCTGTACATTGAAGGTGTGTAAGCATACAATGGAATATTTTTATCCAGATTCTATGCACTTTCTTATTCTGTGAAAAACCACAGTGCTTTTTAATCATAAAACTGGAAAAATATGTTTGAAAAGTATATACTGAATTATCTTGAACTTCCACTAGAGGGTAGTATAATCCTATTCCTTTATTGAAGTTCAAAATGTTAAAGCCTTGTCTTTGAATTTTCTCTTAGTTTATTTTATATGACCTATTTTTAAAAGACTGTTCCCTTCATCTAGAACAGAAGATTCTGGGTTTTGTTTTTGTTTTAAAATTTTAATTTTTTTAAGAGACAGAGTCTCACTCTGTTGTTCAGGCTGTAGCATGGTGATGTGATCATAGCTCACTGCAGCCTCAGACTATTCCTGGACTCAAGCGATCTTCCTGCCTCAGCCTCCCAAAGCTCTGGCATTACAGGATTGAGCCACTGTACCCAGCCAGAAGATGCTGTTAACTCTTAGATAAGAATTCTTAGATATAAGAGAATAGCAGCCGTATACTGAGTTTGTGTTTTTCTTTTGGTTTGACCTAGCCTGATACAGTATTATTTTGCTTTTTTCTGTACAGAATTTTAGAGGGCATCTAACAAAGAGATTATCATAGCTCTGTCAGTTTTTCATGGACTAGATTATCAGATGTCCAGGTTCCTTTCTGAGGCTAGACCCTTCAAGAGGCACATTAATTCTCTTAGACACCTTTTAGGCTACTACATAGATCTCATTTGTTCCATAATGGCTTTTGCAAGTTAATGTACTTCTTAAAGTTTCCTTATTCATACCATCATTACCTTATTACCTTAGTACATAAAAGTGTAACGTAAGCATTTGAACAGTCTTGTGGTCTTTCAGTACCTGGCCTCTGTGACCTATGGGTTTGCAGCCAAGGAGAGTTCTTTGTTCCATAAGGCTAATTATTTTGTTAGAAAATAACTCATTAAGTGGGAAATAATTTTAGTGTGCTGCTTCATTCTTTATATATCAGTGGTTACACTACAGATGATATGTATTTGAAACAAATGGCACAAAGAAAAATTCCAAACAGAATTGCTTTTCCTCTGGGACGGCCTTCTTGCAAAAATTTGTGAAGCTCTTTTTTGCACAGCTGTCAGGCATTCCCAAATGGCTTTTCACAATAAAATTCTACCTATCTCTTTCACTGATCACTAAATGAGACATATGCGGTTGTTATAGCGAGCAAAATGGTGAGGCTTGAGCTTCTTGTAAAGGTATATTTGTGTCCATGGAGGCCTGCTAGTATTTTATGTATATGCATCCTAAGTTGGTTACCAAATGTACTCATATATGCAACTTGTTTTGCAACAGGAAATGAGCAGGCTGTGACAGGGAAATTAAATTTCTGCTAACTTAAATTCAACATAAAATATTCGGAATACACATTACGTATGTACTTGTCATTATTATATGAAGAGCTTTTTTAAGTTTAATATAAGGGGATGAACCTTTATTTTTTTCAATGCAATTATTTTATATTTTGTTACTGATTTCAAGTCTGCTAAGTGTTAAAATGGAAAATTTTCATCATTTCTTCTGTTTTAAGTCACTGATAATGTGACCTGGTTTAATATACTAAAAGTATCATCATGTTGTTTAATGTTTTCTAAGTTCTCTGCTCATGTTTATTCTTTTACAAAATTTGGCATAGTCTCTTAATATTTAAACTAGATGACCATGAATAGTTTTGCCTTCTCAGTTATTTTACATGTTAGAGTAATAAAATCATTCTATCACCAGAAATTATTCTTTATTGAATTCAACAGACAGGGTTATTAGGGGATAGCAAAAAAGCAAAAATACAGTCTGCACCTTTAAGGCCCTTACTGATTCCTGAGAGATATGAGAGTACACAACTGGTTGGATGATATCAGTCAGAATGTGAGTCCTGTGTGAGGCTGAAAGGTCTGGGGAAGCACAGAAGAGGAAGGGAGCCCTGTGGGAGGAGGGCGGGCTGCCACTGGCCTAAGCCTGAAAAGACAGGCCGGGGTTAGGGACAGGCAGAGGCAAGGAGGAGGAGGCACCAACGCTCAGTACTCCTCTTGTTTTGCTGTAATGTAGAATATGTGAAGGAAAGAAGTGAAGTAAACAGTTTGTGGCCAGAGAGCAGTAGCTCTCTGAATGATAAGGAGTTTAACTTGAAAGGGCTGGGGAGCCTGTGAAGCTTTTTAAAGGGGAGAACATAAATATGAATTTGGTGTTAGCAGTAAAATGACCACGGACTATTTCAAGCATTTTTAGTCTAAATTTGTCATTCAGCACAAGAGCATGAGGCCGTCCTATTCAGAAGTATGTACAGTTTGTTTCTCATTAGGAATTCCAGGTTGATAAACCACTCACATGTTTTCATCTGGTCCCCACGTTATTAACAAAAGAGTGACTAGGGCAGCAAGTACAATTTGTACCTAGAACAGAATTTCTGTCTGTGAGAAATTAATTGGCCTGCCTAGAGATCAACCTCATTTAAGTTCCTGGCCTCATTAGCTCTGTAGTCAACCAACAGAGCTAGAATCTAAATGGAAATTGCCATCTGTCCAGATAAAGATTAAAGAGGTAAAAAGAACATACACATTTTCCAGCATAGAATAATTGTTGGCTCCATTACATAGTTTCTTTTCAGAAAAATCATTTGAAATTTAATTCCTTTTACCTGTAGGAGATCTTAAGTCTAAGACTATAGCCTGGAAAATAACTTATAGGTGTGTAAGTTTGTAAGATAAAAATGAAAATGTTGTTGACATTTTGATCTAATAGATCCATAGATCTTGTTTACATCATGATCATTACTGGTCAATGAAATTATTAGTTTTCAATCACTTTTATTAAATATAAAACTTAGCTAATCTAAAAATTTTCTCTATTTTTTATATTCAAACATTAATTATTTACTGTCAAGTATTAAGTTTAGGTACTTCGGCTCATTTAATCCTTTTAACAGCTTTGCAAGATATGTGTTGTTAGCTCTCTCTTCACAGACGAGGTATCACATTGCATCTCATCTGGCAGGAGCAGAGCTGGGTTTTTAAGCTTGTGCTTCAAAGCCTAGCTCTTAACCCGTCCCCCATATGCTAAGCATACATGCACGATACTGAATGCACCAAGTAGCTTAGAGTTAAATGGAGTCTATATTAAATTTAACTATTCTAGTTTTTATCACTAATCAAAATGAAACAGCCTTTTAAATAATCCTATTAGCTATGATAGTGTTTTATACATTTTAAGACCATGTCAGACTAGTTATAACAGAATGAGCTGAATATTGCTTCTTTAGTACTAGGAGTACTAGCTCCCAAGCTGAATCTCCTAGTCAGTTTTTCATTTAATAAAACAAAAAACAATGTAGGCTGGGTGGGGTGGCTCACACCTGTAATTCCAGCACTTTGGGAGGCCAACGCAGGAAGATCGCTCAAGCCCAGGAGTTCAAGACCAGCCAGGTCATAGTGAGGTCTCGTCTCTACAAAAAAATATATATATAAATGGCAGTACATCATTTTGCCTGATTCCCCCATATAAACTCCTTATGTACCATTTATGACATTCTTTAAAATCTTAAATACAGTTATTGGCTAAAATTTAGATTTTACAAATTGTTTCATTTAAGCGTTCCATAATCACATATAGTAGCTGTTTGATGTGGTCCCTGAAGCTAGATTCAAAAGCACCATGAACTACATTATTATTAGCCTTTTCCAGATTTACCGTGATATATTAATATGATAAAAGTCAGTACCTAAAATGTCTGAAGAAAACTGCTAAACTGCTTGTCATCAAATTTTCACTTTTGAATAAAATGTTATTCCCCCCCGACCAAATTCATGTTTTTAAGCCTTACACCCTAGCAGAGAGGAGAGGGAGTTTTTATAAGCACAAATATTTAATAGAGTTAAAATTTAGGATATTAGAAAGTGTCAAAAAAAAAAAAGGAATAAGACCTACTATTTTATAGCACAGTAGGGTAACTATTGCCAATAATAACTTAATTGTATATTTTAAAATAACTTAAAGAATGTAATTGGATTGTTTCTAACTCAAAGGATAAATGCTTGAGAGGAGGATAAAAAGAGAAAATGTCAACACTTCTGGATTATCTAATAGCTGTTTGGATCAAACAAAGATTAATTAAAAATAAAATCTTCATTAATAAAAATTCATACTTTATTAATTTTTTTTTACTTAATATTATTTTCAGTTCCAAGGTCTCATTCAGGAGACCACATTAAATTTAGTCATCTTGTCTTCTTAGGCTCCTCCTGGCTCTGACAGTTTCTCAAACATTTTTTGTTTTTGATGACCATGACAATTTTTTGAGACATGGTGATCAGATATTTTGTAGACTGTCCCTCAGTTGCAAATTGAGTACTTTGTAATATTTTGGATAACAGTCCTTTATCATGTATGTTCTGCAATGATTTTCTCCCAGTTTCTTTTCTTTTAAAAAATTTTTAAGTATTTACGTATATTTTTTGCTTTTATTATTATTTTTAATTGACACATAATTGTGTATATTTATAGGGCACAGTGTGATTTTTGATACATGTACACAGTGTGTAATAAATCAAGGTAGTCAGCATATCCATCTCCTCAAACATCATTTTTTTGTTTTGGGAACATTCAAAATCCACTCTTTTGCTATTTGAACATGTACAGTAAATTGTTATACTCTCCCTACAGTGCTATAGAATACTAGAACTTATTCTTCCTATCTAGCTGTAATTTTGTATCTGTTAACCAACCTTTGGCTACTGCCCACCTCCCCAGCAGCCTCTAGTAAACACTGTTCTACCCTCTACTTCCCTGGGATCAACGTTTTTAGCTTCCACATGTGGGTGAAAACATACAGTATTTATCTTTCTGTGCCTGGCTTATTTCACTTAACATAATGTCCTCGAGGCTTATCCATGTTGCTGCGAATGATAGTACTTAAATCTTTTTTACAGCTGAATAGTATTCCATCGTTTATATATAACACATTTTCTTTATCCATTCATCTATTGATGGATGCTTAGGTTGAATTCATATCTCGGCTATTGTGTATAGAGCTGCAATGAACATGGGAGTGCAGATAATGCTTCAGCATACTGATTTCCTTTCCCTTGGCTGTATTCCCGATAGTAGTGGGACTGCTGGTCATATGGTAGTTCTACTTTTGAATTTTTAAGGAACTTCCATACTGTTTTCCATAGTGGTTATACTAATTTAAATTCCCGACAACAGCGTATGAGAACTCGTTTCTCCGCGTTCTTGACAGAATTTGTTATTTTTGGTCTTTTCGCTAATAGCTATTCTTTTTTTTTTTTTAGTTTTAGGGGGTAAGGGGGTACATGTGCTTGTTTGTTGTGTGGCTGTATTGCATATTGGAGGAGATTGGGCTTGTAGTGTACCCAATACCCAAACAGTGAACGTTGTACCCAGTAGGTAGTTTTTCAATCTTTGTCCCTTCCCACGCTTCCCCCCTTTTTGGAGTCCCTAGTGCCTGTTATTTCCATGTGGCAATAGCTATTCTAACGAGGGTGAGATGATATCTCATTGTGGTTTCGATTTGTATTTCCTTTATAATTAGTGATGTTGAACATTTTTCCATATACCTGTTGGCCATTCATGTACCTTCTTTTGAGAGATGTCTATTCAGTTCATTTGCCCATTTTTAATAGGTTTTTTTTAATTTTTATTTTTTGCTGTTGCATTGTTTGGGTTCCTTGTGTAAGAATTTCTTGGGAATTTTAATTATAGGGCCATTATGAAAAATAGTATGGAGGTTCCTCTGAAACAAAACAAAACGAAAATAGAACACCATATGGCCAGCAGTCCCAGTACTAGGGATATATTCAAAGGAAAGGATATTAATCCCTTGTGGGATGAGTAGTTTGTAGGTATTTTCTCCCATTTTGCTGGTTGTCTTTTCAGTCTTGATGTTTTTTTTTCTCCAGGCAGAAGCTTTTTAGTTTGATACAGTCTAGTTTGTCTATTTTTGCTTTTGTCGCTTGTGTCTTGAGGTCTTCTCCATAAAATCTTTGTCCAAACCAATGTTCTGAAATGTTTCCCATATGTTTTCTTCTAGTAGTTTCATGGTTTCAGCTCTTACATTTAAGTCTTTAGTCCATTATGAGTTGATTTTTGTATAGGGTGAACGTTAGGGGTCTAGTTTCATTCTTCTGCATATGGATATTCGCTTATCCCAGCATCGTTTATTGATGAGACCATGTATTTCCCAATGAATGTTCTCGGTGCCTTTGTCAAAAACTGGTTGGCTATAAATATGTGGATTTATTTGTGGGTTTTCTGGGTTCTCTGTTCTGTTCCAGCATGTCTGTTTTTATGCTAGCATCATGCTGTTTTGGTTACTATAGCTTTTTGTAGTATATTTTGAAGTCAGACAATCTGATGATTCCAGCTTTGTTATTTTAACTCAGGATTGCTCTGGCTATTCAGGGTCTTGTGTGATTCCATATGAGTTTTAGAATTTTTTTTTTCTATTTCTGTGAGGAATGTCATTGGTGTTTTGATAGGGATTGCATTTAATCTGTAGATCACTTTTGGCAGCATGATCATTTTCACAATATTCTTCTAATGCATGAACATGGGGATGTCTTTTCATTTTTGTGTCTTCTTCAACTTCTTTCATTAGTGTTTTATACTTTGTCTTGTAGAGATCTTTCATCCCCTTGATCTGAAACTCCTAGGCTCAAGCAATCCTCCTGCCTCAGCCTCCCGAAGTGCTGAGATTACAGGTGTGAGCCACCACACCTGGCTCTTTCCTTCCCTTGGTTAAATTTATTCTTAAGTATTGTAATATTTTGTAACTATTGTAAATGGGACTGCTTTCTTGATTTCTTCCCCCCTGCAATTTCATTGTTGTTGTATAGAAATGCTACTGATTTTTGTGTATTGATTTTGTATCCTGCAACTTTACTGAATTTATTTATCAAGTTCTGAAAGTTTTTTTGGTGGCGCTTTTAGAGTTTTCTATACATAAGATCATGTCATCTGCAAACAGAGGCATTTTGACTTCCTCCTTTCCTATTTGGATGTCTTTATTTCTTTCTTGTGCCTAATTGCTCTCTCTAGGACTTCAAAAAACGGCAAAAATTTGCATTACAATAAACCTATAATTGTAAGTTGAAATTTGAGGAGTTTGCCTCAAACCTAAATGCTATGAAAGCTAGTTTAGAAAGTCATGTAAAAAGCTAGTACGTAAATGAAGGAATTATATTGTAGCCGTTTAAGTGAACCCAAGACTGGAAGGCTGCACAGCCAACTTGTTCTTCACTGCTCCCTTCCCCACTGGATCGCTGTTACTTCCTGACTTGGGAGTCATTTCTGGCTGAGCTTTCCCTCATCTGTGTTAGATGCCACTCCTTTGAGTTCCTTCGGCACCTCATGCCTTACTCTGTCATGCTCTGTTGCCATTGAAATATACCTCCCCTCTCCTGTAAGCTCCTTGAGCTCCAGGACTGTCTTTTTCATCTTTGTATCACAGTGACTGGCACAGTGACTGGCATATGTCAGTGAATAATAGATAACTAGTTATGAGGCTCTGAGTTCTCAAATCTTTGACCTCGAAAGCTTTTCTTTCGTATAAGAAAACAACTAATCCTTGCCCCTACAATCTCAGTTTACTTAGCACCCTGTCAATTGGAAATTAGTGTAATGTGAGAGGGATTCAGTTTGGATTCCTGACTGCCCTTCACTGGCCGTGTGGCCCTTCACTAGCTTGCCTGGGCAAGGCACTGTATTTGTTTTTCTAGGCTTTAGTCTTGAATCTTCTCAGTGAAAGGTTTGAGTGGGTGATCTTCATGTTCCAATACAGCTGCAAGGCTCTGTGGCCTAGCAGCAGAGTGGAGTAGTGAAAGACTAGTCACCTGACAGGCAGAGCAAAGTCTGTTCCTCACCCAACCACTGAGTAGCCTGGTAACTCATGCTTACCAAGTATTTGTGCATATCTACTGTGCCTTGAAGATTTGTGTATGTGATGTGCCAGAGGCAAAACAAATGCTAACGTAATTTAGAAACACAGATATTAAGTTAGTTAAGTATAGGTGTAATTAGGTTAAGGTAGGTATAATTTGTGTTAATTATATTTTACCATATTCTTATGTGAAAATTGGTTATTCACATGTGGTATATGGGATCATTAGGATATAGCATTACGTTAATCAAGATAATGTTTCTCCATTTCTTTGTCTTCCTGGTTAATAAGTGTTTAGGAAAGTTATTTCTTGAAAATGCTTGAAATGTAGTCAAAAAAGTAATTTGAATTATGGTTTAATGTTGGCCAGTATATTTTATTTTGCTTCAAGAAAGTTTAATAAAAAACATTAAAAATGCAAAACAATCTCAACAATGTGAACTTTTACCTTTTTGATACTTTTTGTATTCATCATGATTGAGGATTCTGACTTTTGAGGTCTGTTTATTTTTATATACTTTCAGCTCATTTAGAGGCGAGTTTTGAGGAGGTAGAGAACAACCTGCTGCATCTGGAAGACTTATGTGGGCAGTGTGAATTAGAAAGATGCAAACATATGCAGTCCCAGCAACTGGAGAATTACAAGAAAAATAAGAGGTGAGTTTGAAAAGTTTGCCACAGTATTCATTCCAGTCTCGAAGTTTTCCATATTACTTTACATGCTACTCTTTAGAAGTCCCGGCTGATAAAAGACAAAGGTTTCAACATAAAACTGATAAATAAGCTTTCCAAAACTTTTTTTAAAAACCACTGTCTGTTGCCATCTTTTGGAGATGAGTTATAAAAAACTCAGGAGAAGGTAAAACATGAATCCCAAATATAAAGATGAAGGAGTGGAGCACAGGGCAAAGTTTTCCAGCAAAATAGGAGCCCTGAGCTAGTTTTCTCCAAGAGGCAAATGACTGGGTTGCTCTTTTCTTTTCCTGCTCTTCTCCTCCATTACTAGAGCAGAAGGAAAGGAGCATGAGCTCAGGCTGTGGAAAGGGGCTGGAGGGCTTCAAATCTCAGCTCGGTCACACACTACCTTTGAGACCTTAGGCAAATTATTTTATCTCTCTTGGCCTCAATGTCACTGATTTATGATGGGATAATGATGTACCCCTATCATAGAGTTGTTATAAGGATTAAATGAATTAATTGTTACCTAATTCAGTTAGTGCTTTGTAAATATTAGTTATAATAATGGCTGTTATCACTAGGCCAACCTGAACTGGAGATGGAAAAGGAGTCTAAGGGTAACAGCCTGCTAGACTAGCTCTGGCATCCCAAGTCCTGCAGTGGCCATCTCAGAGAAGGAAGGTACAGGGTTGGTATTTCTGAAGTCCGTGGGGAGTCAGTCTCAGAGGACATGAGACAGACTGTCATCTGTGCTGGGCGCCTCTGGAACTGAAGCTGGAGGCGGGCTTTGCTAGTTGGGAGGAAGCGGAAGTCATGGGATTGGGTCTGGCTGTGGCCCAAGAGCAGATTTGGTGGAGAGAAAGATGGATAGGTTGGGCAGAGTACACTCTTGGTGTTAGGAGTGTTGATGAGTGGAGCTGTTCTGGATCTAGGATGTGACAATAACAGGAGTGGGTTGCTATCATGGACAGGAGGAGCTGGTCACTAATATACCACCACCCCCCTACCCCCAATGAAGCTAATACATAGGTGAGGTGGATTATTGTATTGATGTTAAAATCTTCTAGAATGAGGCCAAGGGATGAGGCAGAAATGAATAGAAATGAGTATTTTAGAACACAAGTTCTCAATCAGGGTCATGTGTCCTTAGAGATGGGCACTAAATGTTAATGAGCCATAAGAGTCACCTGGGGAGAGTATTTAAAATGGGGATTCCTGGGCTTCATCCTTGGGGAGTCCATTCTAAAGTTAATTCCAGTGGAGAAAGTTGAAATGACTCCTTATTCCACAAGCCTCTAGAATGGTTTAAATTTAGAATGGTTTGAAACAGGCATTCTAGGTAATTCTGATATGGGTGGCCTGTGGACCATAGTTTGAGAGACTGCCAGGCAGGGATGGGAGATTGGGTTGTGTGCAGGCTGTAAATGGAAGAGCTTCAGAAGAGCTCCAGGGAGGCCATGGATCAAATTGTTCACAAAAGGTTGTATGTGTGCGAATTTTCCAGAGGTGCTTTCTGTACATTTCATTTGTCCCACAAAGATTGTAGGAGGGCATTTGGCAGCATTAAGAATGGAGTCCTTGGCCAGGTGCAGTGGCTCACGCCTGTAATCCTAGCATTTTGGGAGGCCAAGGCGGGCAGATCATGTGGTCAGGAGATCGATACTGTGCTGGCTAACACGGTGAAACCCTGTCTCTACTAAAAATACAAAAAATTAGCCGGGTGTGGTGGCGGGCGCCTGTAGTCCCAGCTACTCGGGAGGCTGAGGCAGGAGAATGGCATGAACCCGGGAGGCGCAGCTTGCAGTGAGCCGAGATCGCGCCACTGCACTCCATCCTGGGCAACAGAGCAAGACTCCGTCTCAAAAAAAAAAAAAAAAAAAAAAAAAAATGGGGTCCGTGTCAAAAAAGGGGCATTTTTTTTTTTTTTTTTTTTTTTTTTTTTGAGATGGAGTTTCACTGTTGTTGCTCAGGCTGGAGTGCAATGGCATGATCTCGGCTCACTGCAACCTCCGCCTCCTGGGTTAAAGCGTTTCTTCTGTCTCCCGAGTAGCTGGGATTACAGGCTCACACCACCACGCCCAGCAAATTTTTTTTATTTTTAGTAGAGATGGAGTTTCACCGTGTTGGCCAGGCTGGTCTCAAACCCCTGACCTCTGATGATCCACTCGCCTCAGCCTCCCAAAGTGCTGGGATTACAGGCGTGAGCCATCACGCCTGGCCTAGAGAAGGGACTTTTGAATGAGTGGGTGAGCCTTGTGACCCAGGGCATTTCCAGACTGATATGTGGGTGTGGGAAAAGAGGAACTTCCCTTAAGAGGAAGATAGCAGAGGTAGAAATGGTCAGGCTAGTCTTCATTGTTAAATGAAAAGTTAGAGAGACATTCTGTTGTGAAGAAGTTAGGCATGGAAATATGTTTATAATGCAACAAGAGTTTCAAGGAACATGGTAAGAAGGCCTAGAATTTTGAGAGGAAATTTTTGCAGGAGGTTGGACAGCTTGGGTACAGGTCATGTGACCCTAGAAGGTGGTTTTCTCGTGTGTGAAATGGGGATAATAATAGTACAGTACATTATAGGGTTTTAGGGAATCAGTAAAGTGCTTGGAATAGTGCTTGGCACCAGCTAAGTGCTCTGTCAGTGGCTGCCAGCTCTGACTAACTCGTATTATTACTTGTGCAGCTATAAAGAAATGGGTATTCTATATTTTTAAATAGCCCATTGCTTTTTAGCTACATAATACAAAAAGTATATGAATATTGTGATTTTTCTATCAAGATATGTTGAAATGTGATTGTTGGAAACATATGATAGCAATACCTCAAAGATATTGTGGATTCTGTTCCAGTCCACTGCATTCTGCAGTAAAGCTAGTTACATGATTTTTTTTTTGCTTTCCTAGTGCATATAAAAATTATGTTTATACAGTATGTAGTCTATTAAATGTGCACTAGCATTATGTCTTAAAGCACAATGTACATACCTTAATTAAAAATACTTTATTGCTGATGATCATCAGCCTTCAGTGAGTTGTAATCTTTTTGATGGTGGAGAGTCTTGCCTCTATGGTAATGGCTGCTGACTTATCAGGTGGTGGTTGCTGAAGGTTAAGATGGCTGTGGCATTATCTTAATTAAAATAAGATAACAATGAAGTTTGCTACATCGATTGACTCTTTCTTCCTGGAAAGATTTCTCTGCAGCATGCGTTGCTGTTTGACAGCATTTCACCCATAGTAGAATTACTTAAAAAATTGGAATCAATCCTCTCAAACATTGCTGCTGCTTTATCAACTCAGTGTACATAACATTCTATGTCCTTTCTTGTCATTTCAAAAATGTTCACAGCATCTTCACCAGAAGTAGGTTTCTTCTCAAGAAACCACTTCCTTTGCTCATCCATAGGAAGTAACTCCTCATCTGTTTAAGTTGGATCACGAGATTGCAGTAATTCAATCGTATCTTCAGGCTTCACTTCTAATTCTAGTTCTCTTGCTATTTCTACCACATCTGTAGCTATTTCCTTCACAGAAATCTTGAACCTGTCAGAGTCATCCATGAGGGTTGGAATCCACTTCTTCAAAATTCTTGCTAATGTTTGATATTTTGACCTCCTCACATTAATTATGAACATTCTTAATGGCATCTGGAATAGTTAACCCTTTCCAGAGGTTTTCAGTTGACCTAGATCCGTTGAAGGAATCATTATCTATGGCAGCTATAGCCTTACAAATTGTATTTCTTAAATAATAAGACTTGAAAGTTGAAATGACTCCTTATTCCATAGGCTGCAGAATCAGTGTTGCGTTCACAACAATGAAACAACGTTGTTCTCCTTGTTCATCTCCATGAGAGCTCTTGGGTGACCAGGTGCATTGTCAAGGAGCAATATTATTTGGAAAGGAATTTGTTTTTTTTTTCTGAGCAGTAGGTCTGAACAGTAGGCTTAAAGTATTCAGTAAACTATGCCACAAACAGATATGCTTTCACCCAGGCTTTGTTGTTACATTTATACAGCACAGGCAGAGTAAATTTAGCATAATTCTATGGATTTTCAGGATGCCTCCAAAGATTTTCAGAGTAGTAAATGAGGCATTGGCTTCAGCTTAAAAGTCACCAGTTGTATTAGTCCCTAACAAGAGAATCAGACTGTCCTTTGAAGGTTTGAAGCCAGGCATGGACTTCCTCTCTCTAGCTATGAAAGTCCTAGGTGTCATCTTCTTCCAATAAAAGTCTATTTTGTCTGTTGACAATCTGCTGTTTAGCATAGCCACCTTCATCAGTTATCGTAGCTAGATCTTCTGGATAAGCTGCTGCAGCTTTTACATCAGCACTTGCTGCTTCACCTTGCACTTTGCTGTTATGGAGATGACTCCTTACTTTAAATTCCATGAACCAACCTCTGCTAGCATCAAACTTTTCCAGCTTTCTCACCTGTTTTAGCTTTCATAGAACTGAAGAGAGTTGGAACCTTGCTCTGGATTAGGTTTTAACTTAAGGAAGGGAATGTTGTGGCTGGTTTAATCTTCTGTCCAGACCACTCAGACTTTCTCCATATAAGCAATACGGTGGGTTTGTTTTCTTATCGTTCATGTGTTCATTGGAGTAGCATTTTTAATTTCCTTTCAGAGCTTTCCTTGGCATTCACAACCTACCTAACCATTTTGTGCAAAAGGCCTAGCTTTTGGCCTGTCTTGGCTTTCGACATGCCTTCCTCACTAAGCTTGATTATTTCTAGCTTTTGATTTCAAGTGAGAGATATAAGACTCTTTCTTTCACTTGAATAATTAGAGGCCATTGTAGGGTTATTATTAATAATTGGCCTGATTTCAATATTATTGGGTCTCAGGAAATAGAGGGGTCCAAGGAGAGGAAGAGAAATTGGAGAATGGCTGGTCAGTGGAGCAGTCAGAACACATACAACATTTATGGGGCTTGTGGCACCCCAAAACAATGACAACAATATGTGCTGGTGTGTACCACAGAATTCTAGAAGGGCTCAGGAATTGAAGGCACCAGGATCTTGAAAGATAAGGTGTGTTGAAAGCACGTATGTGAAGTAAGATCCCTTGATCCTCCGCTTAGCCAGGTGATCACCCTATCCCTAGCTCATCAGGCAATGTGGAATTTCACCTGAGGGGCTCCAGACTTGACTCTAACACACTTGAGGACAGGTAGACATACAAATGTATTGAAAACAGAGGAACTAAGTGAAAGCCTACGTAGTAAACAATAAGACTGTTTAGGCCCTTTTCCCCAGTAGGTCCCAGAACTCCGGCAGCCAAACTCACATCCCCTGTGCGGAAGAATGGAGCATTCATCTGCAAAACTGCACTTGACCAGCCCACAAGAAAAGGCCTGCAGATATGGATATTTAGGTTGTATGTATGTGGTGAAACAGCTAGGTCTGCTCTTACCACCCTCTGATGCTGAGCCCACACTCTGCATAACTTCGAGTCAACTTTTGTTGCCTCACTCAAATACAAATAGACAGCTGAGGAATCATATTCAATTAAGAAAGCTTCCAAAATGAAAACAACTGAAATACGTAGACTATAAGCTAGTAAACAATATTGTTTAAAACCTGCAGAAGAACGAGAGACTGAGGAGCAGAAGAAAACTTAAAAACGAGGCTGGGCGTGGTGGCTCACGCCTGTACTCCCAGCACTTTGGGAGGCCAAGGTGGGTGGAACACGAGGTCAGGAGATAGAGACCAGCCTGGCTAACATGGTGAAAACCTGTCTCTACTAAAAATACAAAAAAATAGCTGGGCATGGCAGGGTGCACCTGTAATCCCAGCTACTCAGGAGGCTGAGGTGGGAGAATTACTTGAACCCGGGAGGCGGAGGTTGCAGTGAGCCGAGATTGCACCACTGCACTCCAGCCTGGGAGACAGAGCAAGACTGTCTCAGGAAAAAAAAAAAAGAAAAATTGTAATTAGTAGCTTCAGATATATGGGAACATCTTGTAAGAGCCCATTTTGTATTTATGAGACAAGAAAAGATGCTGTAGAAAAGGAACAAGAGAGAGCTTTTAGAAGCACATGCACCCTATAACTTAAAAGTATTAAAAAAAAAAAAAGAAGGTAGCAAAAGTAGAAAATTTCACCTGAAGCATAAGATAATGTTAAACCTCTAAGAGAACAAAAAGTCTGAGGAAAAACTAAGAATGTTAAGATAATTCATAAGTCCCATGTTTGAGTACTAGGAGTTTCAGAAATAAAGGAGTGAGAAGGAGGAGAGACAAATTTATTGAGGAAATAACATAAGGAAGTTGTCCAGAATTGAAGGATATGAATGTTTGAGTTTAAAAGAGCCCATGAAGTGCCCGACAAAATGAGTGGAGAAAGATCTGTTGTCAAATACATATTTTTGTAAATTTCACTACACTAGGAATAAAGATCATAAAAGCCTTCAAAAAAGGCTTTTATATTAAGGATCAGGAATCAAAAGGAACATCAACTTTTCAGCAACAATGCCGAAAGTAGAAAATGGTTACTAAGAATATTTACTGGGCAAAATTTTCATCAAGCATGAGGAAATAAAGTCATTTCCAGGCAGCCAAGGGCTCCAGTGTGGTGGATGTGGACACTTTGTCAGGAAGCTCCTGGAGGATGTGCTCCACACACAAGGGAGTAACCCAGGAGGAGGAAGAGCCTGCACAGAGCAGAGATGAGTCACTCCAGGAGGATTCATTCTGTTCAGAAGAGACACCAAGGGAATTTCTAGGGAGGTGGTGAGAAGCTTCAGCAATCCTAGAGAGCAATTCATATTGGGACAGGAAGGCCTTCTGGAGAATTCTAAGTAGTGTTTCCAAGGGGGAAAAAATGAAGCTAATGCATTGTCTTATCGGCGTGGCAATATTGAGAGGAGCTTTATGACTCCTTTATTTATTTATTTATTTATTTATAACTTGAATTATTAAACTCTGGTGGAGGGTTTAATGAGGAATTAGAGATAAATGTGTGTGTTTTTTTTTAAACCAAGCAAACAACAACAAGGTAGATATTAACACTGAGGGGAAACAGTTTTTAAAAAAGAGAAATAATATGCTACATGGCTCAGTCACAAACAGTATTTATGTGATATTGGAATAATTAAAAGCAGAATTGTGATAAAACTTGCTGGGGAGATGGGGGAGAAAAAGCATATTTGTGTTGAGGGGAATTAGAGGTGTAAAATAGCTAATCCTCATCTTCTCCAGCAGGAAATCAAGAAGTAATATTTAAAATTGAAAAAAGAATAAATATTAATATTTGCATATTATTTAGAAATAACAGAGGTAAATGCCAGGAAAAATAACTGAAAGAATTGAACATGGCTGCTTGTGAAAAACAGGGCAGAAAGGTGGAGAGAGCTGGGGCAGGGACTACTTGTCTTCACTATAAATACATCTCCTGGGTGCTCTTTGACTTCAGGAATGGGTATGTACTATCAACATGCAAAAATTGAATTAAACATTTTTTAATTAATTCCATATAACATTCCCTGAATTCTTCTGCATGGAATACTAGACTGAAAAGGTTGCCATTGATAAAACAGTATGTGATCAGATAAGCTCCAGAAACACTTTGCATTTGCCCACGGAGCTTTGCAGTGTGCATCAGCGTGCTAAAGGTTCTGAGAATTCCTGTGGTAAAGAAATGTTTTGCTGGGCACGGTGGCTCACACCTATAATCCCAGGACTTTGGGAGGCTGAGGCGGGCAGATCATGTGAGGTCAGGAGTTTGAGACCAGCCTGGCCAACATGGTGAAACCCCATCTCTACTAAAAATATAAAAATTAGCTGGGCATGGTGTTGCATGCCTATAATCCCAGCTACTTGGGAGGCTGAGGCAGGAGAATCCCTTGAACTCCGGAGGTGGAGGTTGCAGTGAGCCAAGATCGTGCCACTGCACTCCAGTCTGGGCAACAGAGTGAGACTCTGTCTCAAAAAAACAAAGAAATATTTTGGCCGGGCACAGTGGCTCATGCCTGTAATCCCAGCCGAAAGCGGCAGATCACTTGAAGTCAGGAGTTCGAGACCAGCCGGGCCAACATGGTGAAACCCTGTCTCCACTAAAAATACAAAAATTAGCTGGATGTGGTAGTGGGTGCCTGTAATCCCAGACACTCAAGAGGCTAAGGCAGGAGAATTGCTTGAACCCAGGACCGGGAGGTTGCAGTGAGCTGAGCTCACACCACTGCACTCCAGCCTGGGTTACAGAGTGAGACTCTGTCTCAAAAAAAAAAAAAAAAAATTTTTTTTTGACTCAGCATTTCACAACTTACTTGCTCACAGAATCAATTTGCATGTAACACATATTAACATTCTGTGACTTAGTATTCTACATAACACCATTTGAGAAATTTTCAAATACTGCCAGTGAAAAACTTTTAATTTTCTGGTTCATAAGAGATGAGTCGCTTAAAAATAAACCTTCTTCCTTTTTAACAAGATGCTATGCAAACTACACTAATGACTTTTCTTACTCTGAAGAAAACGATAATATGTGATAGAAAAAGTTGGATATGTGATATGCTTATGTGCATGCATTTTTTTAACAATGTTTGCACACCCTGTAGCTTTCCCAAAAATCCGGGCCAGAACACTGGATGAAGGTGGGGAGAGTGGGAGAATGAAAGATAATTTTTCACACTCCTCCAGTGCTAATAGGCTCTGCAATAGGCTCCTATGGCTTTTCTCATTCAGCTCCCACCAGAGCCTGTAGTGTGGGCAGGGCAGCAATTTTTGGAGTTGAGAAGGAGATTGAGTTGCATTAAGTCATCAGACTATTTAGGGGCCAGCATCAGAACCAGAGTCTTCAGTCCAAGGCTCCCACCACACCACCACACCAACCCAAATGTGTCTTCTTTTTTGATGTTAAGTTGGAACAAACTGATTGAGTCCCAGATGTTTATACCAGTGCATCTGTAGTTTCAAATGGATATATGATATTTTGTCATTCATTTGACGGACGTTCCCAGCAGAGAGAATACATTCCTGCCCCTACAAAAACAGGACTGTGACCCATTATAAAATAAATAAACACAAAATAAAATAAACGTGACAGTGGCTTCCTAGTCAGGGGATTCTCCCAGTGGGTAGGGAAATATACAGCCTAGGGATGGTTCTGATAGCTCTTACCTACCCTTGAGAAACATTTGAATAGACGGTTTAATCCACTTCATTTGTGCAGTAAAGTAGGACATCTCTCTTTAGCTAGTTATCTGAGAAAAGTGCCATCTAAGACACTTGTGTGGTTGTACGGGGAAAATACCCATAAATTGCTTTTCTAAATATTTTTCTGCATGTAAAATGATATTACTGTTACCAGTGCCTTTGTAGACTGGAACGGACATTGCCTTGATAAACAACAAAACATTGTGTAGTGGCTAGAATATGGCTATAGGCAAAGACAGGTACTCAAACCAGTAGCTAAGTTGTCAGATAGTTCAGAAGATGAGTGCTACAGCCATACGAGTCTAATTCATGGACCCCTGGCAGAAGCTTTTGTAACCAATAGGAAATACATTTTTCGTAAAGAAAGAAGAGCTAATATTTAGTATAGGAGCCAAAATAAAGAACTTAAAACCATTTACATGGATTTTTCTAGCTAGCAATTAGAAAAGTGGGCTTGAGATTTGAGGGTCAGCTTATATTCTTAGGGGTGTGGAGGAAGACAGATGATAAATTTATAAAGAAAAAAAGAATAATTTCAGACAATAATATAAACCTCAAAGGAAATAAAATGGAGTAATGGTATAGTGGTAAGGCAGGGGAGGACTGCTTCAGCTAGGGTGAGCAGGACAGGCTCTTCTGAGAAGATATGTGAGAAGAGGTTTGAGTAAGATGGCAGTCATATGAGGATCTAGGACTGTATAGCTCCAAACAGAAGGAACAGTGGGAACAAAGACCCCGAGTCATGAACAGTAGGTACGTTTAGAGATAGAGCTAAATGGAAGTATAGAATCTCAACCTTCTAGATTTTTAATCTTTCCAGTGCCACCATAATCCTTAGAGTGCTTATTGAAGTTCTCTCACAATAATTAGTTATACTTGAAATCATCCATAAGTGTGTAATTTGATTAAAATATTTCTTATTTCCAAGTTTCTAGATCCCTTATGCATCTCCTTCAGTACTTATGCTTTCCCCTTCAGTACACAGCATACCATCAGAATTTCTCCAAAAATAGTAACATCTTGAAGAACAGTGATTTTAGCAATTCTTGTTAATTATAAGTGACTCATAATTTTAACATAGTCTTCTGTTGGACTCGAAACCTGCTTAGGGGCATACTGACTCCAGAAACATTTTTCACTGATTTATCCAGACTTTGAAATTTGCTTGTCTCCTGGAACCCACCTCCTAGAAGTGGTGGTCGCTGCTGCCTCTGATGAGATTTAGTGCTTATGCATATTTTAAGGGTCCTGATTCTTTTTGCTTTATGTTTATATATCTACTATAGTTAATGCCAAGGGACTCTGCCCTTCTTTTTGTTTGTGTTTTTTTGTTTTGTTTTTTGGTAACATTTGGACTATGGACTATATTTAGAAAATCTTTAGAACAAAGTATAACAGATATATTTAAGAGATTATGGCGTATCTGTAGTGGCGTTTGACCAGTGTATGTTCTAGAGACTAACTTGCCAAATTCCTGAGCTTCAAGAAATGAGTGTTCAAGCTCACCTGCCAAGAGACTGGCAAGCTGGGGAGAAGGGGAGGTGTGGCAGGAGTGTGGCCCTCAGGCCTGGCTTTGCGGAGCTGAGAATGGGAGAGAAGAAACCAACAGCATTCTCCAGGGTAAAGATCCAAAAACGATCTCTTTTGGTTCTTCTGGAACCAAAAGAGAAGATCGAGAGCACCTTCTCTGAAGGAGCCAAGCAGCAGGGCAGTAACTAGCTTCTGCAGTTCTGCAGCAGAAGTCTGTTTGGATGCTGAATGAAAAGGGGAGCAGGAGAACTTTTCCGCAGGCAATGACTTTACAAAAAGGGAGCAGACTTCTGCATCCACCAGGATGGAGTAACAGGGACCAGATTTATTCTCTCCCCCGAAACAATGAAAAACCAGGTGAAATAAATGAGAGAATGTTTTTAAGACACTGGATTTTGGACAAAGAAGAGATGTGATGGTACCCGATAGATAGGAAACAAGTGAGGTGAGCCCTGTGATTGCCTCTGCATCCTGCCTAGAGAGAGTTTCCAGGGTGCACTGCAGGGAAGTGGACCCAGGCAGAGCCTGGCAGACTCAGAGTTGAAGAGCTAAATCTGGGGAGATCAAGGCAGCTGGAGTTTACAGGACATAGTCCCAGAGAGGAGAGAGTTTCTGAGAGGGTCTCCATGAATATTCACCTGATAATACAGGTGAGGAAACTATCCAAGGCAGGAGGGAAAAAAATATCCAAGAGGGTGAGCTAACAGTGCCTGGCACTCACACAGAGCCTCTTCCCAATAGTCGGACTGGGAAAACTCATAATTACTGAGGTATTGGGAAGTGGACTCGGTGAATTCTTGCCTCAGTAGGATGTGTAATTGGCTTTTGTCTGAATACTGCTGAAGACGTGCTTAGCAAATCATAAAGCAAGCATCAGAAGAATCAAGCTGTTTCCAAGTAAATTAACTGTATAACAAACAAAGCTCAAGAGTATTTATAGGAATATAAAAATACCTAGCACCAAACAAGATAAATCACAATGTCTGGTATCTAATCAAAGATTACTAGGAAAACATATGGAGGAAGATAGTCAATCAAAGCCATTAAAAACTGACACAGATATTAGAATTAGAAGACAAGGACAGTAAAAATTGTTATTGTAACTGTATTCTGTTCAAAAAGTGAAGTAGAGACATGGAAAATATAAAAAAGGCTGAAACTTGTATCTCTTTTCTCCATTTTCTCCTTTTACTCCCCCCTCTCCCTATTAGATGCTAGATTTTAGATGGTTCCCAGGTGGTTAATTGAAAGTAAATTGACATTTTTATTTTATTGTATTTATTATAATGTAATCACATTTACTAGGCCAATGACCTCTTGAAAACAGACTGAGAGCTATGAATTTGTTGGCTTCATAAATGTGTAATCACACCTTACATTTTCTTTTAAAATTAAACCTAAGCTTATGAGTTGGCAAGGAATTGAACTTAACAAAATTTTTGCTCTAAAGTGTCTGTTAGAGAATAAATCTTGGCAGTTTCAGACTTTATGTGTAGTCACGAGAACAGATGTAGCTAGAATATTTAACAGTTTATTAGATCCTTGGGTTGACAGTAAATAGAGTTTAGGACTGATATTTAAGTTCATAAAGCTTTATTTTGAACAATGAGTATCTGTTTGCCATTTTTAAATAATAAATGTCTCTCTAACTGGTTTACAAAATTCTTTTCGTTATCTCTTTCCTCCAGTTATGCAAATGACACGCTGGGGTTCAAGCTTTTTGTTTTTAAGAGGCATGAAAACCTAAAGTGTATCTTTGAGGTGGAGAGGAGCAGAGACTAAAGATATAGCAATCTCGAGAAAAGTTTTTTGAAATTAAGCAAAGCAAAATTATTATTATCCTGGGTTGAAAAGTAGGTAATCCTTTTTTCCAAAGTTAGATTGATTATAGTTTGTACATTATAATTTAGAGTCTGTAATAACTTTCAGTGTTTTAGAATTCATTTATTACATTTGGAATAATATTTTATGTTTTTTATGACCCATAGTTGTGTTGGAGTTTATGTTCCATCAGTTACTGTGTTTTTCAAAGATACTTTCAAAAGTATAAAATTTATCAGTTATTTTAGTCTTCAGTTGAATGTAGCTAAAACCATGATATTACCCTATGCTTTTCTCACTTTTCTGGTTTTCTTGACGGATATGAGAGCTGGGACAGGCAGAGGCACACCTGGCAGCCTGCCATACCTGCTCTGACATCGGTGGTAAGCAAGAACCATGGTGAAGTCAGCAACAAGAAAACAGTGCTCCTCCTCTCTGCTGCAGCCCTTCTCTACCCTCTCTGGGCAGTGCTCTAGCATGGCTGTGTTGGCCCCGTTTTTTCTATGGCTAAGAAGCAGGTCTCTTTTTCTTGCCTGCCTTTTACTATTACTAGTCTTTCATTCTGGCTCAGAAAAAAAAATGGCACTATAATTGTTTCAAAGGAATTGAAACAATTGCTACTGGAGATAGTTTTTTGTTTTGTTTTGTTTTGTTTTCAGACAGGGTTTTGGTATATTGCTCAAGAGGTCCTCCTGCCTCAGCCTCCCAAGTAGCTGGGATTACAGGTTTGAATTATTGTGCCCGGCTAATGCTACTGGAGAGGTTTGATACTGGATTTCAAAGAGGGACATTTTCCCCCAAAGATAGCAACATTTTCCTTCCTCTCTGGAAGTTTCATGTTATGTTCTGTTTAGGACCCTTTTTTTTTTTTTCTTTTTCTTTTTTTATTTTGAGATGGAATTTTGCTCTTGTTGTCCAGGCTGGAGTGCAATGGCGTGATCTCAGCTCACCACAACCTCTGCCTCCAGGTCCAAGTGATTCTCCTGCCTCAGCCTCCTGAGAAGCTGGAATTACAGGCATGCGCCACCACACCTGGCTAATTTTTTTTTTTTTTTAGTAGAGACGGGGTTTCTCCATCTTGGTCAGGCTGGTCTTGAACCCCCGACCTCAGGTGATCCATCTGCCTCGGCCTAGGACCAATTCTTATTATAACTGATATCAGAGAAGTGCATTATTGTCATATAAAATAACACGTTACTTTTGAGGCAGAGAAAATAGAAGTTACAGTTCTTAAGGATTAATTCAGGTAGATTTGAGAATTTATTAGTTGATCCCAATATTTTTGCTGTACATGGGTTTTTAAAAGCTAAAAAGTATCCTTTAAAATTCTTAACATTGGACTAGTTTGGGGAAAGTTAAAACACGATTTTACCTCATAATGAACTTTTAAGAATATTTCTTAATTAAAATGAATGGGCAAGGTACATGGCATACCACAGTTAAAATATTGTCGAAAAAGAAAGATTGCATCAACATTGTATAATATGAAAACATTGTTAGAGAACAAATCCATGATTCATTTGAAGTGTTTAACCTATGTTTTTCTTAGCTTTTTAAGTAACTAAGGTCCTTGACAAATCAATCTTTATTTACCTGACTTGATACTGTCCTCTCTTGACTTCAACACCAGTATCCCAGATGTTCTTCTCTGCCTCAGGTTCATTTTAGTTTTCTTTGTAAATGTTTTAATGCTGGTGTTCACTTGTGCTCTGGTCTTGGTTGTTGCCTCCTCTCATTCTGCAGACCCTCCTTGGGCATGCTCTTCTACATCCTTGGCTCATCTGCCAGCCATAAGGTGATCATTATCAAACCACTGTATTCAGTGCAGGTCTCTCTTCTTACCTGCAGAACCAGTTGCCACCTACACAGCTATTCCTGGACTTCTCAACAGCACCATGCCCAAAATTGTCTTCCACAGCAAAACCTGACCTTTTTCTGTTCTAATAAGATACCATCACTACAGATTTATCCAGGCCACAAATATGGGAGTCTTCATAATCTCCTCCTTCCTCTCCTACCACCTGCTCAGTTCTCAGTCCAGCCCAATATTTCCTGACTCTGTCCTTGCCTTTCTGTCTTCACTGATCCTTTCCGGAGTTCTAGCCCACGTCTTTGTAGCCTGAGTTACACTAATAGCCTCTTAATTAGTCTTGCTGTCTGTAGTCTTGTGTCCCTTCATTTATATTACTGTTAGAGTGCTCATTTTTTCCCAAATGTAGATATTAAGATTTCTGATCGTCAAGATAAAAAAAATTAAATGATGATGGTGACTATAGCAGTAGCCTTTATTGAACACTTAATATGTACCAGACACTGCTTAAAAACTCCAAATTAACTCATGGAAGTCTCACAATGACCATTTGAGTAGGTGTACTCTCTTCTCTACCAATAAGAAAAGAGAGACTAGGGGAGATAAAACAACTTGTCAGGAGTTGGAAGTAGCGGTGCTGGGCCAGAACCAATGTTTTCCTGACTTCAAAGTCTCCTCATATCTTTGATAGTAAACTGCCTCCACACAAAGCCATCTGTACTCTGTGCTTGGGTGCCATGGAGTATGGAAAGGACCTTGCTTCTCTGCGTGTATGGACTGCTGTGGGTGACTCAATGTAAGGATGGATTGAGATTTTAGGGCCTGGTGCCGCTTGATCAGGAATATATTTGTATGTGGGATGCATGAGTTTAAAAAAAAAAAATCCACCTTCTACCCTATCAGCTATAAATGGCAACAAGCCTGTAAGGATATACAGTTTCAAGTGGTGGGGCATGACTGCAGACAGCTAATAAATGACAAACCATTGATTTGGTGATAATTAATGGTAGGATGGCTCTTTAAGGAATTGGCTAGCCACTAAGAATTTTGAATAAAAAAATCAGTAACACAAAGGTGATATAAATTTTTTAAATTTGTAATAAAAATTTAAATTTAAATTTGTAATAAAGATTTTTAGCCAATTAGTTGCTGTGGACTAGTCATTAAACACTAGTACACCAGTGAAAATAAAAGTGTTTTTTGCAGGCTTATTTTTGAAAACCACGACATGTCTTCAGGGCTATGTTGGGGATTTTACCTCATGCATACATCAACGATCCTGGCTTTCAACGTTAGTTTTTATTAGTTTCCTAAAAATAATGTACTTTCCCCAAGCTAGGTAGACCCAGATGTTGCCTGGATGTTTTGGGGTGGCTCTGAGTTTCACATATCTGACTCTGGAATTCTGTAGATTTAGTGATCTACTTAAGTAACTTTCTGTTAGGGCTAAACTTGACCCTTGAACTGTATTCTGGATGCTGAAGATGATACACATGCAGAGTCAGCTGTGGGTTTTATTCCCAGTTCTGTCACTTACTATCTGTGTGGCCTTCCATCCTCAAGCCCCATTTTCCTCATGTATTAAGTGAGGGTGATGATACCTACAGTTAGGTAATTACAAGTTATAGGAGACAGTATGTGTAAAGTGCCTTGCATATTGTGGAGTATACAGTAGGAACTCAATAAATATCCCTTACCCCTGTCTCATCTTTCCTTATCCTACTTGCTTCAACCTCTCTTTATCCAGGCATGGCTTCTAAATCAAATAGATTTTCATGTAAAATAGGTTTAGGGAAATGATTCTTGCAAGGTGGGATGGAATGTAATCCATGTATAACTTAGTGCTGCCAACCTGCGTAGACCTTCATTATCTTTTTTGGAATCCATTTTTCTTAAATTCCAGGCTTTGTTACCATATCCTTCAGATCCTTTTCAACTTTAAATTCCAAGATTTTGGAATCTTATCATCTTGTTACTTTCTTGGCTGTATTTGCCCAAAATAGATATATACAATTTATATTAATAGCATAATAAATAAGGATATAATGCCATTTTTACAGTGAACTGGCTGCTTTTTAAGAGGTTTTATTTTAAAGATAATGTTGAGAATGTCTTGCTGGTTTTGTATAAGAATAAATGACAACAGAGACTTTTAAGGTATAGAGAGTCCTGAGAAAATTCATCTCAAGCTGGAAGGAGGTCCCTCCCACCACCCACCCCCAATCCCCCTCAACCCCACCAAGCCTGTAGGGTGGCACCACAGGACTGTGGACTGCCGGAAAACAACAGACCTCTGACTTGTTGGTGATGAATGGTAGATGCTTCTTTCTTGAGAGTGGGCCTGTGAGATCTTTCCCAGGAACAAGTAGTCACAGTAATAGGTTCTGTCCATCAGCCATAACAAAGGGACACTGTTCAGGAATGTTCTATAAAAGAGTATTGCTGATCATGCTTAAAAAAAATTTCCCCTAAACATTTCTACACATGAAGAAAAATGTTAGGGTGCAATTTGCAGTTGGTGTTTTGAATGTGGTATTTTGTGTTAGCCTTTTATCATGGATTTGTCCTAGGGAGGCAGTTTAGGATTTAGAGAGAGTTTGCTTTATCTGTGTTTATGGAGGCATTTATCCAGTAGCTTCTGTCTATTAAGTTTTCATCTTCAGTCTGAGCTAGTTGATTTCTACTCATATATATAGATTTAATATACTTCTTGTAACATTCCATAGGCTTATTAATGTGATTCTTTCTTTCATTTTTATTCTTTATAACTCAATCCCTGGAGAGAAAATGATTAAATAATAGCAGTTTCACCCTTTGGAATATTATTAGCTTTTGATCCTGCTGTTATTTTTTGAATGTTTTAGTTTTAGGGTTATGCTAAATTTTGTAAAGGCATTAGCTGAATTGAGTAAATTTTGAAATATGTTAACATTTAAAATGAGACATTTCAATTTTTTGTTTGATCTTCTGAAAATACTATTAAACTATGGAAATAAACTCAATTTTTAGAAAATGCAAGCAACAAACAAGTTGTTTCAAATGAGATAATATTTGATCAAACTTTATCAAAAATAAAATCTATATTTTATTACAGCAATGGCCTCTTTGAAGAAGCAGATCTTAGTCATCCTGCAGCCTCAGTACTTGGTAATCATGATTTGCTGAGTGTCTGTTGGGTCCAACTCTGGGCACGCATGTGATGCAGGATGGAAGAGATGCAGTCTCTGCACTTCAGGAACTGTAGAGACGATACCTGTATGAACAGAACCACATTACAAGGCAGCACATGAAATGTATAATATTGATAGAGTTTAGTGCTACAGAATTTTTGATAAAGGAGAGATCACTGATTGGATGTCAATGAAGTCTTCTTGGAAAAGATGAACTTGAAGGCTGTTTTACACTAATTATTATTATTAGCATTTTTATGCTAATAACACAGTTTGAAGGAGAGTGACTGGAACTTAAAACTCCTGCTTACCCATGCTTTTTCATCTGGTTAGCTGAGAGTATGTCTTAATGCTTAAGAGTAAAATATCTGCCATGTTCTCGATAAATGTTGCCCATCATCATCAGTTATACTGTCCTTGAAAATGCATCAGCTCAGTCCTTGCTTCTCCAGGAGGCCTTTCCTACCAAACCTAAGTGTATGAGTTGTCCTCTCTTCTTTATTCCTAGAGAATCCTCAGCATGTCATTACCAAAGCACTATAATCTATGACATTGATTTCTAATTATTGCTTTATTTCTCTGTCTCTCCCACTAAAGTTCCTTGAGGTTATGGAACATGTCTATTCCAAACCTAGCATTATTCCTAATGCTATTCCTAACATTATCATAGTGTCTAAGGCTTAGTAAATTTTTGTTGAATGAATGATTGAACTCAACCAAGATTATATTTAGTATACGAAAATGGATATTTATATAAGGTTGATGGCAGTGACGATGGAGAGAAGTGGATCAATTCAGGCTATCTTTTGAGATGGAATTGACAGGATTTATTGATGAATTGGATGGAGAATGAGGGAGATGGATGAGCCAAAACTTGAGGAGCCGGGTAATGCCATTAACTGAGATGACGTCGACTGGAGAAGAACAGGCTGTCTTGCAAATGTTTGAGTAGCCTACTCCACTTTTGCATAAAGCTATCAAATGGGCAGTTGCATATGAGTCTGGAGCTCAAAGAAGAGATCAAGACAGGAAATGTAATCAGGAAGTTAGTAGCATATGGATGGCATTTAAAGCTAGGGATGAAATTGGCTTATGAGCGAATGTAAGCTGAGGAGAGAAGAGGGCCCAGAACCAAGCCTGCAGCACTCCAGCATCTGGTGGTCTGGAAGGGATGGAGACAATAGCAAAAGAAACTGAGGAGGTGGGAGAACACTAGAGGGAACTGTTTCAAGAAACCACCAGTTGGGTCAAATGCTGCTTAAGGATTAGGATGAAAACAGAGAAGTGGTCTCTGGATTTGGCAACATGATGATTGTTGGTGGTGTTGATTGTGTAATGGGGGGTCCAGAAGCCAAATTGGAATGGGTTCAAGAGTGAATGCGAAGCGAGGGAGTAGGAATCTGTAGGAGTTAAATCCTCGAGTAGGCTGAAGGGGATGGGAATCCTGTCTGCAGCTTTCAGTCTTCCTGTTTCAGCAATTTCCAAACCGAACTCATGCATTGCCCTCCAAAATCTTTTCCTTCTTATGATCCAGACTAGAACTGCCCCGGTTAGCATGCTTGTCTCCTTCCTCTCCTTACCCCATTGAGTCAGATGCCTTGGGCTGTTGAGTCTTCTTTATGATACTTTTCAAATTGGAATCCTTCATTTCATTGTCATTACCACTTAACATTGCTCTTGCCAAGTATTAATTAGCTCTTCCCCACGTGCCCCCAACGTGAGTTTCCTGTGTACTCACTGCTTTTATTCTCTCCCTTGCCAGTATATCCATCCATCACAGCTAGAACGTTCTTCCTAAAATACAGCTTTGCTCATGTTATTCTCCTGCTAAAAATAAAACAAAATATTTTAGCCTGGCACTGAGAACTCTCTACCTTTTTATCTGAATTACTTTCTCTTCATTCAGCCTGCTGTTCTGAAGTATTTGCTCCAGGACAAGTACTTGCTGAAGTATTGCTGTTCTGAAGTCTGTTTCCTAAATATAACCTGCGTCGTCTTTGGCCTCTGTGACCTCACAGTCACTGCTGCCTGTGACTGACATGCCTTTCCCTGCCTTCTCTTACATTTTCTATATTTCCAAATGCTGAGTACCTCTAACAGATGGTGGAGTACACCCTAACAATTGTGAAATTTCAAGGCTTTCAGTGCTGCTGCTTTACCTCATCAGTTCCTTAAAAGTTCCATAATACTGGTTGGGCACGATGACTCATGCCTGTAATCCCAGGACTTTGGGAGGCCGAGGCAGGTGGATCAACTGAGGTCAGGAGTTTGAGGCCAGTCTGGCCAACATGGTGAAACCCCATCTCTACTAAAAATACAAAAATTAGCCAGGCATGTGGTGGTGGGTGGCTGTAATCCCAGCTACTCGGGAGGCTGAGGCAGGAGAATTGCTTGAACCCGGGAGGCAGAGGTTGCAGTGAGCCAAGATCACACCGCTGCACTCCAGCCTGGGTGACAGAGCAAGACTCTGTCTCAAAAAAAAAAAAAAAAAAAAAAAAAAAAAAAAGTTGCATAATACTGATTTTTTTCTTTAAACCAATTATTTGTACCACCACTACTTCAAGCAGTCATCTGTTTTAGGAATTGGGTACAGGAATGATTTTCTGAAGGGAAGTTTCCTGGAAATTTCGCTGACAGTTGTGGAGTTGTGGGTCATGACGCTGTGTGACAGAGGATGCCCAGAAGATGCTGGGCTTGTCCTCTTCACAGCAGCAGACAGACGGTTGCAGGGTGAGCAGGATGAGTCCACAGGAAAACCGCCCTCCTCAATTGCACACTCACTCATTAATGTATTTAATAGTAGTTGCTGGATTCCTTGTTTTTATGGTTGTTAGTATTTGGGGGTAGGAGAATAACAGTGTCTGTGAAATCATTATTCTGAGTTTCAGCTTTTTAAAACAAGAGAGCCCTTTAGAAATTCTGCTCACAGTCACACATTCTAAAAGAAGAAAATTAGAAGCTCTCTAAACATTGTAATCATAGAAAAAAAAAAAGAATTACTCATTAGAATATTGAACTGAGTGTTCTGTCAACTTTCCCCACGTCGGGGAATTGCTAATGTGAGGATGTCACTAAGAAGTAGATTGAAGATATCTTTTTGAGATTCTCTTGTGATACATATTGCCTTCCTGTTGTATTCTGGTTTTTATTATCGGGGTATAAAGCAGGTTTTAGGCATATTTAGCTTGTACCTAGCTAAGCTTTTAAGAATGAAGTTGATTATTGACTGAAGGGAAACAATTACACAGGTTTTGTTTTTGTTTTTTTGTTTTGTTTCGTTTTTTTTTTTTTTGAGACAGAGTCTCGCTCTGTCACCCAGGCTGGAGTGCAGTGGTACGATCTTGGCTTGTTGCTAACTGTGCTTCCTGGGTTGAAGTGATTCTCCTGCCTCAGCCTCCCTAGTAGCTGGGATTGCAGGTGCCCACCACCACACCCGGCTAATTTTTTTGTATTTTTAGTAGAGACGGGGTTTCACCATGTTGGCCAGGCTGATCTCGAACTCCTGACCTCAGGTGATCCACCTGCCTCAGCCTCCCAAAGTGCTGGGATTACAGGCATGAGCCACCACGCCCAGCCACACAGGTTTTTGAAAAAATAGGATTGAAAATTCTTGCATAGTTTATGAACCATGGTGCTGGATAATTATTATAAGTAGATATTGTTAGGAAAAAACGGAGTGGGATGACCATCTGATTTAAGAACCTTCACTTTGGCTGTTGCAAGAACATTATCTACTTGGCCTTTCAGTAGGCAGCTTGCCAGTCTCTTCTAGCAGCTGTTGAGTGTAGTCAGCTATTTTGGAACATGAGGGGTATTGTAATTAGGTGTGTAGAAAATTGATTTAAGAATTCAAAACATCTCTAGATTTTTAGTAAAACCTGGACTGCAAGTACAAAATAAATGTCTCATATTTTAACTGGGATAACCAGCCTTTATTTCCTCAAAATTACTCATTAGTACTGATAATGAGGAAAAAAAATACGTAACTGCAAAATTGTGAGGGAAAGCCTCAAAACAACTTGCTTTGCTTTCTTTGTCACAAAATGTTTATTTTAATCTATGTTTCCCCACTGTACACTTCCCAGGAAACTTTGTGTTTTGGCATCCTTACTTAATATTGACAAAATAATAAACCAGAAGATTCCTAGAGGCTTGGCCCTTTGTGGCATGAGCTGTGCACCTCAATCCTTTGATATGCACTTTCCCCCTTTTCTCTTTTGCTGTTGAAAGGGAAAACAACTGCTTCTATTTTGGATAATTCTTAACTAACGATCTCAAAAATCCAGTATTGAATATTTATCCATCAAGGAAAAATTGTGTTAAGTGCTTTTTATAAACTGATTCTTACATGTATGAGATGGTTCATAGCTGGGATTAAAATGCTGTCTGTGTTCTTATAATTGTTTTATTGTTTAGATGAAATTGTTTAGATTATTATTTGGATTCTGGTGGAACTTTTTTGAGCCATTAATAGAAAATAGCAGAAATAACTGAAAATAGTTGGTTTAGGCTCATTGTACTGGTCATTTCAGTAAAGTATAACTGATATGTGAAGATCCAGAAATACCACTGTGGGCATTTAAAGTACATAAGTTTTTATTATGATGGAAGAACAGTTTTCATTGGGGAGATTTTTAATTTGCATTGTCTTGTCTTTTTTTTTTTTTTCCTACAGGAAGGAACTTGAAACCTTCAAAGGTAATTTTGTGTTAATTCTTCACTTTAAAGTAGTTGAGAGTTCATTGGTATCAGATGTTCTCTCGACAATGATGAACAAACTCATTTTTTAAAATCAGTTTACATAAAACAGTAAAACTTAATACTGTTTTTTGTAGGTTTTGCTTAATCACAGGTGGTTTTGATATTCTCTTTAGCACATGTACCAAGTGAGAGTTCCTGCTAATGACCTTTATAAGTGGTGTGTTAGGAAGGTGCAGTGCTAACTTTGAGGTTGTTGAGAATCATAGTTTAAGAAGATTCTGGTTTCTCTTGTACAGTCTGGGCCATGTGGAAAGGGAATGGTGACAAAGATCAAGAGGTGCCCCTGTAATTGACCTTGCAGTCACTCGAACCTCCTGAGAGGTCTTCAGTGCTGGGCCCTGCTCTGCTGCTGTCTTGTGACTTTGGATGAGTCTCTTACCTTTTCAGGCACAGTTTCTCTCTCCATCTGTAAAATTAGAGGCTCAGATGAAATATATTCTGAGATTCCAAAAGCACCCAGCATTACTTTTTACTTTTAGGGAATGCCTGAAGGAGGGACGCTAGAGAATAATTCTTGGTTATGTTGACCCTTACTGGTCATGGAGAAACACTAGTGAAAAACAGAAAAAAACACAAACTTTCCAGCAGCTCAAGGTTCTTCCAGTTTCCCATTTTTCAATTAATTACTCATGAGCAATTAAGTAGTAGAAATCCTATTCTCGAGAGATTCATTTCAATAACTGAGAAAACTTTTTGAATTACTTATTAAATCACTTCTGATTTTGTTGTTTTATGCTTATTATACTTCACGTATAAACCAGCATTGTCCTTTAGATTTACCGAATGGTTAAAGATTTCCAAGTATATCATTTATGGTTGAATTGTTTATATGTGTGATCTGTTTGGATTTAGAAAAAATGACAAATTCTCAAGATAAAAGGTATAAAGGCATATTCCTCCTATAGCTATTATTGAACAGCTTTGTTTGGCTGGATTTCTGTTTGACCTACTACGGCTCTAGTAAATGATTAAGTTCATGGCCAGTTTGTTGAAGGTAATGTTAAATGATCATGTGATACAATGTGTTGTCATGGCTGTCATTGTTCTTAATTCAATTTGTAAACCACTACTTGTATACATTCTTTTTTCAATCAGTGGTTTAAAATAAGATTTGAAATCCTTATAAAATGCCTTTTCCTTCTCATTCTTTTCTTTTGGTTGACTAGTTTAGTATCTTCTTATATAACAGTAAGAGATGAAAAAAACAATCAAGTTAATATTAAAAGACAGGGCAGGGACACAGATTATGTAAAATGTCAGTTTTACTTGCATCTCAGTGCTGAGGCGTACTTTTTTTAGTGTGACAATATTCAGAGAAAAAGAAGAGAATAGCAGTTTGCAAAAGGTTAGGTAGTGTTGTATATTACCCGATAGAATAATTCAATTTAGGCTGAAATATCTTGTTTATACACACATTCCTAATTATGTACAATTAACAGCACATCAAATCCACCCACAGTCCAATTAAAGATCTCAAATATGAACAAACCCTAAATTGAATGTTGCATTATATCTAGATTTTTATTATCAGTGTTCATTCAAAATTGTTTCTTCTTGAGTGTTTTGCTAATATTTTTAAAACGTGGCCTGGGCATGGTAGCTCACGCCTGTAATCCCAGCACTTTGGAAGGGCCTCCTTTGGGAGGCCGAGGGGGATCACCTGAGGTCAGGAGTTCAAGACCAGCCTGGCCAACATGGTGAAACCCCATCTCTACTAAAAATTCAAAAACTAGTCAGGCGTGGTGGTACCCCCAGCTACTCAGGAGGCTAAGGCAGGAGAATCGCTTGAACCTGGGAGGTGGAGGTTGCAGTGAGCCAAGATTATGCCACTGCACTCCAGCCTGTGCCACAGAATGAGACTCTTGTCTCAAAAAAAAAAAAAAAAGTACCCTATAACAAGAAAAACAGAAATTTAATAGCTCTTCCAAAGTATTAGTGAAGAAAAAAAGTTGTAAAAGTTTGTTCGAACATATTGTGGCAATTTATTATTTTTTGAATATTGCCTTTTTCCTTTTCAGGTTGCAGGAAAATAAAAGGTGTTACTTCCTCCAATTGCTTTATTCAACTTATATTTAGAAGCTCTTTTCTAAATTGGGGGAAAACTAACTTTTGAGAACCAAAATACCAAATTAGTAACCCTCAAAGTTAGTAATGTAGATTAATATCATCCACCATGTTCTGGATTCTCCCTTCTAATACTCCATTGAGGTTGATGAGTTACGTTCACCTTCTGGTGCATATGGCCAATCTCTACAAGATTATTGAAACCAGTTGTTGTTCTTATTTTAATATTGGCAGTAGGAAATTTTTCTGTGTTCCCCAAATACTGCATTCATTTAAAATTTTTAGTGACATCACTCAAATATTAGACAGCAGAAAAAGAGGATAGGATCATAAAAGTCCTTATTTTATATTTTTAATGGGGAAGGAATTCCATTATTGTAAGCACATGTAGAGTACATAAGCTTTCATAGTCTTTAAAGACATAAGACATTGAAGACTTAGCTCTGGAAAGCAGAGCCAGTGGATGAGGTAGGACAAAAGTGGTCAGAGAAACAGGAAGACTAAGGCAACGTAGTGACAAAAAAACTACAGAGGAGAGTTTAAAGGAGGAAAGGTGGTTATCCATAATATAAGTAATGCAGAGAAGTTGAGCTGAATGGAGAGAGCCTGTTGGATTTGACAATGAACAGGTCATTGGTGACCTGAAAGAGCTGTTTGTAAAGGTTGAATCCGAATTGAAAATCAGAAGTGTATGAATAGGCCGGGCATGGTGGCTCACGCCTGTAATCCTAGCACTTTGGAAGGCTGAGGCAAGCGGATCACTTGAGGTCAGGCATTCGAGAACAACCTGGCCAGCATGGTGAAACCCCATCTCTACTAAAAATACAAAAAATTAGCCCAGCGTGGTGGTGGGCGCCTATAGTCCCAGCTACTTGGGAGGCTGGGGCATGAGAATTGCTTGAACCTGGGAGGCAGAGGCTGCAGTGAGTGAGCCAAGATTGTGCCACTGCACTCCAGCCTTGGCAACAGAGTAAGACTCTGTCTCCAAAAAAAGAAGTGTATGAGTAGTTAGGAAATAAAGGTGACATGAACTAACTATTCAATCATGAATGGTAGAAAAAAATGAAAATGTAATGAGATGGGATCCGGGTCAAAGTCAGGGGAGGTATAGTTGAAGATATTGAAGGAGTCATTATGATACCAAAGAAAATGGAAAGAAGTGGTATCCAGATAGGTTATCCTTGGAGAGTATCCAGGGATGTCTCTTTTCCTAAGACCTTAGAGAAGGAAAGGATGGCTGATAATATAGGGAAAAGTTGACATGGAAGGATTAAATAATTTTTTGAGAATTCACGTAAGGAATGATAATCTGAATTTTCAGGGCTAGGCTCAGAAGCAGAAATAAAAAAGCAAAACAAATATGCTTTGGTTAACACAGAGTTGGAAATGGGAAGACATGTAAGATGGGCCAGCAGGCATGGTAACCATGGATGCTAGTGAGACTATGATTGAAATGATTGGCTGTGGAGTTCTGACTAGAGAGAGGGGAGGCCTGACCAGACCAGCAGAATAAGCAGGCTGAATGGTACAGGTGAGGTACCCCGTAAAGGGGAAGAACACTTTTAGTGGTTGAGGTGGATCTTGTGGTCAAAGAAGAGATTTCAGTTTGAAATCTTAGAAGGGGAGCAATTCCCAGTGATGATGATGGCTAAATTTGAGTAAAAATAGAAGGCACCAAGTCATCTGACTTGGAGACTTCTGAGGCTGTGAGGAGTCTCACTTGTTTGGATGACTCGTGGATGTGGCTTATGCATATTACTGGCTTGGCAGCCCTTAGCATGTTACAGATAGGGATGATGATGCTAGGTGGTAAACTTCAGTAGAATTTGTTGGTTCACTTCAAGAGTTGGCTTAACGTGTGAGACAAAACTATTCAGCTGCCATTGAACAATACTTAAGTGACTCAGGTTGGATGATGTTACTGTCCTCTGTCCTCAGGGAGCTAAAGGACTGTGGCAAAGCTTATAGATTAGAAAGGCAAATATATAATTTGAATATAATATAGAAATAATAGAAATAAGTACACTAAGGTGGGAGTAATTAACCAGAGAGAGGTCATGACACTTGATCTGAATGACGAGTACTCACTGGGCTAGAAAGGATAACAAAGACATTCCAGGAAGAGGAAAGAACAGTTGTAAAGATGCATATATGTTTATTTCAAGAATACAAGTTAAAATTTAATTTCTTATTTATTGAAGGAGCCACAAATAATTTGCCTGGCTGAAGCATATGGTGTGTGGGGTGAAGTGATGAGGGATGAAGTTGGACAGAGAGGCAAGGAACAACTGGTACCCAGCCTTGAATGCCATACACAGGAACTTGGACATTTCCCTTTAGGCCAGTGGTCTTCAAAGAGGAATGTGGGCATGCAGAGCATTAGGAGGAGAGAGGAAACTGGAATTTTTGTTTTTTTATGTCATCCTTTTAAATGTCAATTTTCTGTATATTATGTAATAAATTAGAGCAGGAATTCATGCATATGTCAGGGGTGCATGATTAAAAAGAGCTCAAAGGTTATTGTAGCTGATAGAGTCCGGATAGGGAGTAGGATATTCCCAAGGGTTTCAATCAGGGTAGAAGGATCAGATTTGCATTTTAAAGCAAGTTTTCTGGAATCATATAGGAGATAGATTAGAGAAGATCAGGTCTAGACTAAAAAAGATCAGTTGGGAAACTATTAGATTTGAATTCAGCCATTGCTAGAATGGAGGGAAAGACACAGATTCAGGAAACTGAGTAGAATAAAAAGTCACTATATTGTTCCTTTTTATTGCTGAATTAATATTTCATTGTATGAATATACCCCATTTTGTTTATCCACTCAGCAGCTGATGGACATTTGGATTGTTTCCAGGTTTTGCCTATTTTGAATAATGCTGCCATCAACTTTCTTATGCAAGTCTTTGTGTTGACATACATTTTTATTTATCTTGGGTATATAGCTAAGACTAGAATATATGGATTGTATGACAAGTTTGTGTTTAACTTTTTGAGAAACTGCTGAACTGTTTTCTAAAATGGCTGTACCATTTTACGTTCCTATCAGCAGTGTGTGAGGGCTGCAGTTTCTCCTCATCCTTGACAACACTAGTTAGCTCTTACATTTAGGTCTGTGATCCATTTTCAGTTAAGCCTTGTGTTCGTGTGAGTTAAAAGTCTACCTTCATTTTTTTACGTATCGATATTCAGTTGTCTCAGAACCATTTTTTGGCAGACCTTGGGGCTCTAGGCTGCACCATGCCCGAAGTCTCCCTCACAAGCCTTAGAACTATTTTTTGAAAAGAGCTTCTTTTCCCCATTGAATTGCTTTGGCACCTTTGTAGGAAACCAGTGACCATAATGTAAGAGTTTTTTTCTGAACTCTCAACTTTGTTCCTTATTGCCAGTGCCACACTGCCTTGACTAGTGTAGCTTCGTAGTAAGATTTGAAATTGGGACGTCTAAGTCCTCCAACCTACTACTTTTTAAAATTGGTTTGACTATTTAATATTTAAGGTCCTTCGTCTTTTCATATAAATTTTAGGATCATTTTGACAATTCTAACAAAGGAAAGAGCCTACTGAGACTTGAATAGGGATGGTTGTGTTGCATGTATAGATCAATTTGGGGAAAATTGTCATCTTAATGATAGTGAGTCTTTCAATCCATGAACATGGAATGTATCCATGTTTGTTTAAGCCATCTTCAGTTTTTCTAAGCAGTTTTGTTGTTTTCAATATGTGAGTCTTAAATTTATTCCTTAATATTTCATTCTTATTGAGTGAATTTCACCATGAGCATGTTAAATTTGCAGTATCTGTAAGACATTATAGGTGGAAGTGTCCAATGGGCTGTTGAACCTCAGGAGAAGGATCTGAGCTAGATTTGAGAGTAGCCAGCATGTAGGTGGGAATGGAAGCCCGGGGTTTGGATGACGTTGCCCACAAACAACAGGGCAGAATGAAAAAAAGTTGACAATGCATAGAAATCTAGGAAGCACCAACATTCACCAGACAGGCACGAGAAGAGAGCTAGTTGCCCATAGTGGAGGCAAAGAGGAAAATGTGATAAGGAGAACATTTCAAGGACATGTCAAGAAGCAGTGTCATATTGTTGTGGAGAAGGCAAACTGAAATATAGCCTGAGAAGCTAATTGGTGATCTTAATGAGGACACTTTCAGCAGCATGGGTTTGTGTGTGGGGGTGCTGGGGGTAGAAACCAGATGGCAGAGGATTGGAATGAGTGGACTGTTCTGCCTTGTTCACCATTGTGACTCAGGTGCTTGGCACTTTGGTGCTTATTAAATATTTAAATGAATGAGGGAGTAGAGACAATGCTTTCAAAAGCTAAGGCTAAAGGAAGGAAAGAAGAATAGTTAGAGGAGAGAGTTAGGTTGAAGGGAGGATTTTTTTTTTTAATTTTGGGAGGAAGTTGAGTATATTTGTATGAAAAAGGAACAGAAGCTATAGAGAGGGAGAGGTTGAAGATACAGTGAGAGTGGCTGATTGATGGAGCTGTGATTCAGAGGGGACCAGCGGGAGTGGGATTTAGACCATACTATTTTCAAAAAGGAAAAATTTGTGGAGAAGTGTTTGTAACTATTAGAATTGATGACTTAAGATACTTATTAAAAATATATAGCACATTCCAAGCCACTGGTTAGTGTTGCTGAATTTGAAAAAACCTTTAGGCTAATGCTACATTAAAAATGAGGTAGGGGAAAATTATAGATGCCTTGTGTGTTATGAAATGAACTATATTTTTAATTTTTATGTTACTACTTTCAAACAGCAAGATTTCATCTCTCTTTTGCTGTGTTACTAAAGCATCTTTGTACCTAGATGACAAATTCTGTTGGATTTAGTTATTTTCAGCCTTCCCTCCCCTCCATTTTGAGCTGCATTTGGTATGGTCCCAGACCGGTGCATACATCTTTGCACACTAGAGCCCCTGAGAGCTTGCATTTTGCTTTTATAGAGGCAGTAGATTCCAATGTATATCTGCTTAAGCCATCAGCAAAAAACTAATAGGCTTACTACAATTTCTTTGGAAAAACCTGCTTCTGGCTTCAGCCTCACTTCCTTTGTTCTACATCCCAGAAGATGCACGTGAGGGCAGCTGCCTGGTAACTGGAGGCTTCACTTGACCAGCACTGAGCTTCTGTTCACTCCTTCAGGTCTCACATCCATGTCATCTCCAGGACTCACCGAAAATAGTCAGAGGGATCCCTGTAGGTGGAACTTTATTTTCTGTTTTTCCTTTGCTGCTTTCCTTTGAAATGTTTATTTCCATGCCTGGATACATTGCTGTATTTGCATGGTATGCAGATGATATATTATTAAAAAGCAGAAATTAAATTTCAACTTGACTTGAACCTACAAGTAGTACATTTTTATGAGAGCATTATTAGTTCTTTCTATTACCAACAAGTAATAATTACTAAATTAATACCTAAAATAAGTTTAAAATGTTGCATGGAAATGTAGGACTTTTTTTTTTTTTTACAATATGTGTCTTTTCATGCATCAGGTGAAATTAATCAAACTGACATTTTTTATGAAGCAATATTTGTATTAAAAGATAAATATAAAATACCAGGAAAATAATACTAGCTATTTGAATAATGAGGCTGGTACAGCTCCATAAAACTAATTCGGCATCCCTTGCTGCTAGTATGTTCATTTTCCAAGAGGCAGTTAATAGAGTTAAATATGTGAGCCATATCCAAAGATAGTATAAAGTTAAAATTCATTCTATGGTACTATATGGATTTATCTAAAATGGCTGATTTTCAATATGGATTTTGAAAAATGTCATAATGCTTCATACAGGTTGAATATATATATATATATATATATATATATATATATATATATATATATATTCTTTTCATAATTTCATATAACTTCAGTGTATTCCTTATCTGTTAGCCAGAGGCTGTGGTTTTAATGACATCTCTGTGTGGTATTTATATATATATATAAATACATATATAAGGATATTGAAGTTGTGGAACTTACTGCAAAAAATACCTGAAAAATTAACTGTGCATTTTTTGTTGAGTAATTTATTGTACTATCCATGGGGGTGGTAACTGAGGAATAATTTTTAATAGTGATTGCATTTTTTAAAACTCCCTGTTATTTCTTTTAGTTGGCATACGTTATGGCATGTTATATACATCATGCCTTGTCAGGTAGAAGCCACTTCTCTGTAAATGAAAAAAAAAAAAAAAAAAAAAAAGAAATACATGTTGTCTCTCATCTATCAAGGTTATTCTCTTTTTAATATTACAAATTTGAATAAGGTATATCAAACTTAAGAGAAAAGTTCCTTCTTTGTGTCCCTCTCTCACGCCTGTGTATGTATAACATAGCAAAACCTTTCAAGCTTAGATAGACATATTAACAGAAGTAAAATGATAGCTCAGGAATTCATTATAAAATTGGAGCATTAATGGAATCAAATTCTAACTAGAGGTTTTACCACATTCTTATTCATTATTAAGTGTTCAGGAAAAAACTTATCAGTGAGAACTTTGGCATTTATTTTTAAAGTATTTACTTATAGGGAATGTATGATAAATGACATATTTTCTCTTCTCTCAGTCATTATCTTAAATAATGGTTCTAAGAGTAAAGATCTGCATATAGGTATAATCTGATATTCAATTTTAATATTTTAGATCATTCATCTAAGAAATTGCTCCTTGAAAATCATGATTTGTTGGTAAATACTGGCAAGATTTTTGAGGTGTCTGCTCATCTTTTTCTCATATGTCAATATATGTTAAGTGTATATTCGTTTTTTTAAAAGCTGGCTTATATTTATGTAACAGTGTTTAAATAAAGTTAGTATCTATATCCTGTAATACCAAAATATTTATATCCTGTTTGTTAATTTTGGCTCTAAGACAGTTTATTTCTAAGACGGAGTTGATTGTTTATTCTAATACCATGTCTTAAGTTGTCATACTGGGCATGACCTGAAATTCTCTAAGACGATGTTCTATATTGAAGGGGAATTGGCACTTTAACAGCTTGTTTAGGTATTAAACTACATAAAAATAGAGCATCAAGATTAGGGTTGTGATGCTTAAATGTTACTTTTCTGGGATTTCTTGTAATGATCATATACCACCATTGTATGATCAATAATTATAGCAATAGAGTATTTTAGAAGTGAATCAGGACAACGTTTTGTTGTCTATCATAAATGTTTGGTATCATGAATAAATACAGCTATTCTGTTTCATTACCTTTTTGCTGGAACATGGTATAACTTGACAGCAAAAATTATACCTTTCAGAAAACTAAATTTTAAAACCACAAAAAGAAATCTTTGAAAATTTTAGCTGTCAGCCTTAACAAGAGACTTTGTCTGTTGAATTCATATGGAGCTTCATGATTTTGTCTTAGCTTTTTAGAGGTGTGTGCTGGAAAATAACCTGTGGGATCTTGTAGCTCTGCTGATTAAACTGTTGAAGGCAACTGGGATGGAGTTTGTACTTTTCTCAGAAGATTGGTAGTTGCCTAATGGTTTTTATAAACTTCTAGAGTAGGGGAGAAGTCAAGTGGCCAACTGAGCTGAGAAACTCTCACTCCTACTTAAATATTCATCTGGCTTTCCCTGTAAAGGTATGCCTATAGCATAAATATAAGTATATGGGTGGGAGCAGTGGCTCACACCTGTAATCCCAGCACTTTGGAAGGCCGAGGCAGGAGGATCGCTTGAGACCAGGAGTTTGACACCAGCCCAGGGTAACATAATGAGACCCCCGCTCTACAAAAAAATTTAAAAATTAGCCGGGCATGGTGGCATGCACCTGTAACCCTACCTACTTGAGAGGCTGAGGTGGAAGGATCACTTGAGGCTCAGGAGTTTGAGGCTGCAGTGAGCTATGATGGCACCACTGCATTCCAGCCTGGGCAACAGAGCAAGACCCTGTCTCTAAAATAAAATAAAATGAATCAGCATTTGAAATTTGGCTAATTTGTTTTTATTTGAGAAGGAAAATGGTGTTTACCCTAAGATAGGGGAAATAACTAAAGAAGCATTGGAATAATATTGAACTATTTAATATCCCTTTGTATTCTTAAGAATCATTTAAAGTGTTGTATAAAAGAGTAGCATAGGATACTTAATAATATGCTATTCACTTTCAAGTCTCTAATTCCAGTTTTGAAAACCTATGAAATAAATACTATGGTAGATAAAATGGAATTGAACAGTCAGAAACTTACTACATGAAGATGACTCATCAGTTCTAATTATGTTTATTTTTAACTGAAAATAAAAGTATATGTAATAAGAATTATCGTAGTAATTGCAATGATGTGATCAAAAAATAAATAACCACCAGGATTTTTTTCTTTCATTTAGTAAAATTAATGTGGCACAGAATATCAGTCATACCATTATAGGTATATAAGTATAATTCTGTTTATTTCTATTAAAACTCTAATAAATTAGTGAAAAGAAACTACTTATTAGGCATGTACATGTGTTAGCTCTGTACTTTGCATTTCATAGTTAGTACCACAGTATCTCAAGTAGTATCAAAACAACCCTGTGAGATGAGAAAATTGAGACTTAGAGAGTTAAACAAGTCACCCAGCTAGTAAGCATTTCAGCAGGGATTTAAACCCAGGAACGTCTGCCCTCAAAACCTGTGTTTTTCTCACTTCACCACAGTCATTCCTGGGACGTGCTAAAATGTAAACAATAGAATTTAGACAAGTTTTGAGTTTCCATAGTGTTCAGTGTTCTTTAGGTATTGCATTTATATCCAGTCCCTTTCCCCCATTCTCTTTCTATACCGCAAACTTTGAATAGCTAAGTAGCATATTGAGATTTCATCTTTAACTGTATTTGAACTGCTTCCTGGTCTTGCTGTGTAATGCTCCTTTAATACAGGGCTATTCTAAGAATAAAACCCAGTGTTTAAAAAAAAAAGATGCTGATTTATGCTGCAGAACCCTGGAAAGATTCCTCTGAATTTGAGATGTGGGTTGAAGCTCAGGGCAGGATTAGAAGAAAGACTAGTAAGGCCTCTAGCTCCCCTCTGCACACTGTGTCCCCCTTGGACAGGAAATATTTGACCATTCTTAAAGTCAAATCTTCTCTATTGCAGATGCTGATTTCTGCGTAACAGTTTTAAAAGAATTTCTGCCTGGGCGCGATGGCTCATGCCTGTAATCCCAACACTTTTGGGGGGCCAAGGCAGGTGGATCACCTGAGGTCAGGAGTTCAAGAACAGCCTGGCCAACATGGTGAAACCCTGTATCTACTAAAAATACAAAAATTAGCTAGGCGTGTTATGCTCCTGTAGTCTTAGCTACTCTGGAGGCTGAGACAGGAGAAGTGCTTGAACCTGGGAGGCAGAGGTTGCAGTGAGCCAAGATCTCACCACTGCACTCCAGCCTGGGTGACAGAGCGAGACTCCATCTCAAAAAAAAAAAAAAAAAAAACAGTCGGGCGCGGTGGCTCATGCCTGTAATCCCAGCGCTTTGAGAGGCCCAGGCGGGTGGATCACGAGGTCAGGAGTTCAAGACCAGCCTGACCAAGATGGTGAAACCCTGTCTCTACTAAAAATACAGAAATTAGCCAGGCGTGGTGGCAGGTGCCTGTAATCCCAGCTACTCGGAAGGCTGAGGCAGGAGAATTGCTTGAACCTGGGTGGCAGAGGTTGCAGAGAGCCGAGATGGAGCCACTGCCCTCCAGCCTAGGCCACAGAGTGAGACTCCGTCTAAAAAAAGAAAACAGAAAAAGAATTTCTGGCAGTCTCCCCTTTTCTACTTCTTTCTAGCCATTGTATCTTAGAAAAACTTTGAAGTCCTGTCATCCAACACCTCGTCCCATGTAGAGTCCGTTTATGAGCAGTCCTGAAGGTGTTTACGTGGTGTGTTGACAGTTCACACTCTCTACCAACCTTCTAAGGCTTCAGAGTTGTAGTTCCTTGACCTTTTCTTTTCGTGGTAGCTGATTGTAGATGCTTTATTCTCCTGGTCATTCTTGTCTAGACCCATGCTAGTTTTCCAATACCCCATATAAAAATGGTGTTTGTACCTGCACAGTCTTCTAGAAACGGTGACTGTGACTATAGCTTTTTAGTCACCTTTTCTGCCAGTCAGCTCATGTTTAACTACAATGCCCAGATCTTTTTAACATGAAAGTGCCCCTAGTCTTTATTTTTAAAATAACTGTAAAAGCAATGCATCCCCATTGAAGACAGGAAAATTTAAAAAGCTTCTGGGAAAAAAATTGAATCACTAGTCTGCAATAGCCTCAAACATTTTTGAGGTTTATATACACACACACATATATAGACATATCATCCAAAATTGGAATAGCATACAAACAATTTTGTTTCCTGTTTTTTCCCCTTATGAAATGAGCATTGCCTCATGTCATTAACATACTGTTTTCCTATTGTTGGAAATTTAGGTAGTTGCCAGTTTTATGCTAAGCATAACTTGTGCTGTAATAAGCATCTCTATACGTACATAGATAGGGCCACAATTTTTTACAGCCTAAGTGTATTACATTTTTTAAGGCTCTTGGTGTGTATTCATCGTTAGCTTTTTAGAAGGGTTGTTCCAGTTTATACTTTCATTAGCAATGTCTGTGACTTTATCTATTTCATAGACCCTCACCTGAGTATTTTTTTCTTGTCTTTACTAATATGAAAGCAAAAATAAAATTTGATTATTGTTTGAGGTGTGACGGGAGGTAAAATGTGATTTATCGGCTTTTTATTGTTGTTATGAACTGTTTTTGCTTCTGGCTGCTTTCAGTTGCAGTTTTAGTGTACTTGTAGATTTGAATGAAGGGGTTACATATTAAGGGTTTCAAATTGTCATATTTATTGCAGATATTTATCTTCAACTAATTATTTGCCTTTTAATTTTGCGTGGTTATTACACACAGAAGTGTAATATTTTTTATTCAAATGAATTGTTTTGCTTTTATTATTTTAAATGGACACATAATTGTACATATTTGTGTGGTACACTGTAAAGTTTTGATACATATATGTAATGTGTAATGAGTAAATCAGGATAATTAGCATATCTATCACCTCAAACATTTCTTTGCATTGAGAACATTCAAAATTCACTCTTTTCTTTTTTTCTTTTTTTGAGAGGGAGTCTCACTCTGTCGGCCAGGCTGGAGTAGTGCAGTGGCACGATCTCAGCTCACCACAACCTCCGCCTCCCAGGTTCAAGTGATTCTCCTGCCTTAGCCTCCCAAATAGCTGGGATTACAGGCGCCTGCCACCATGCCCAGCTAATTTTTGTATTTTTAGTAGAGACAGGGTTTCACCATGTTGGCCAGGCTGGTCTCAAACTCCTAACCTCAGATGATCTGCCCGCCTTGGCCTTCAAAGTGCTGGAATTACAGGCGTCAGCCACCGTACCTGGCCAAAATCCACTTTTATAGCTATTTGAAAATATACAATAAATTGTTATAGTCACCCTACAGTGCTATAGAACACAGGAACTTGTTCCTCCTCTCTGTAATTTTGTATTTGTTAACCAACATCTGGTTAACTCTCCGTTCCCAGCCTCTAGTAACCACTATTCTAGTCTCTACTTCTATGCAGTCAAGTTTTTTAGCTTCCATATATGAGTGAGAATATGCAATACTTGTCTTTCTATGCCTGGCTTGTTTCACTTAATGTTTTACAGGCTCATCCATGTTGCTGAAAATGATAGGATTTTGTTCTTTTTTATGGCTGAATAATACTCCATTGTGTATACATACCACATTTTCTTTATCCATTCATCTGTCGATAGACATTTAGTTGATTCCATATCTTGGCTTTTGTAAATAGTGCTGCAAGAAACATGAGAGTGCAGCTATCTAATCAAAATACTGATTTTCTTTTCTTTGGTAAATATCCAGTAGTGGGATTGCTGAATCGTGGTAATTCTATTTTTAGTTTTTTGGGGGCACCTCCATACTGTTTTCCATAACAACTGAGATAATTTACAGTCTGACCAACAGTGTCTAAGAGTTTCCCTTTCTCCACATCCTCACCAACACTTACCCTTTGTCTTTTTGATAATGGCCATTCTGACTGTAGGAGATGATACCTCACTGTGGTTTTGATTTGCATTTCCCTGATGGTTAGTGATGTTGAGCATTTTTTTCACATACCTTTTGGGCATCAAATGAATATTTTTAATGATACCTTCCATTGCTTTTCTGCATGGAAGATTCTCTCCCAATCCTAAGAAATAAATATTAGCTTGTTATTTCTTCCAGTTTTTATTATAGTTTACTTATTACTTTAACTCTACTTAATCTAGAACTTATTTTGATTTACAGCATGAAATGACCACTCAATATTTTGCCATATAAGTCATTAATTTTTTTAGTACTATGCAATAATTCCTTACTTTTCTCTCCCTCTGTTGCTGGAAAAAATGTAATTGGTTAAATTCCATCCTGCCTGCATGGTGTATGCCCCCGAGCAGCTGAATGTAGCTAGAAGAAAACATAACATCCTTTCCTGAGTTCTCACTTCAGATGTTGTCCACAATTCACTAGAAAGCCTTCATCCAGGCTGGCAATCCTAGTACATTCCCCTCTGCGCACTAGGAGAATGCTCTTTTCTCAAACTGGGACATCCCCTCCCTGATCCCATTCCTCATTGCTTTCCTCTGATTTCACTGAGGAACTGGAAGCAGTCAGAAGAGAAGGGCTCTGTGCTCCCTGCACTAACACCCCCTCCTCCCAGCGTCGGCTTACTCTGGCTTCCTCGCTGGCACCGTGGGGACTGTCCCTGCTTCCACAGCAAGCCCCTCAGTGTAGGCGCTGGACTCCTTCCTTCTCTCCTGCCTAAGGGCTTTGCTCTGGCAGCGTTGTCCTCTCTCTTCTGCACCATCAGTGCTCACCTCTCTGCAGAATCGTCTGGCAGTTGTTCGTACTGTCCACATACTTCACTATTCTTTTCCTTAATCCCTTTTGCCTGTAAAAGTAAACACATGACTAATAAAACTGACATTACCACCCAAATTATGTTGGCTACAATATCTTGGAAAACTACACTTGGAGAACTACACTTCAGGATTCAGTCCAAGCTCTTTACCTTCCCACCGGAGATGTTGAAGTGCCTCTGGGGTTAATCCTTGGGCCTTTTCTCTCCTGCATTCTTATTCAGTCCCAAGGCTTTAAATACCACCCAATGCTATTGGCTCCAATCCTGGCCTCACCCCTAAATTCTAGACTGGTTTATCCAGCTCTCCGCTCAAGAGTCCTGTGATGGTGCTCACTGGCATCTTAAACTCAACCTGTCAAAATCTGCAGTCTTGAGTCTCATCCTGCCTGCTTCTTGGCTCTTCTGTCTTCTCCATTTCATTAGATGATAGCGCTGTTCATCCCCAGGCTTAGGCTATAAGAGACATCAACAAAAATGCTGCATGAGTCCTCTCTTGCCTTACACATCAGTTCTTCAGTAAATCCAGCCAGTGCTGCCCACAAACTGCCTCTCACCGTTTCTTCCTGCCTCCCCTACTACTGCCTACACTCGGCACTGTTGTCTCTCCTCTGGGCTGCCGTGCGGGCATCCTCCCTGGGCTTCCTGCCTCTGCACTTACCCTCCAGAGAGAGCATCACCTCCTCGTGCCAAACTCTCTGTGGCCTCCCATCACATGTGGAATACCTCCCGAGTCCTGGCTTGCGAGGCCCTGCAGGGCCCAGCCCTTTGCTCCCTCTCTGGCCTTGGCTCCTCTGCTGCAGCTCTCAGCCATTTTGCTCCCTCCAGCAGGCCCATAGGCCCAACCAGGCCTCCAGCTTTTCCCACCGCCTGTCCTGCTCTTCCTGTAGGTGGTGGCCTGGCTCGTTCCCTTCTGCTGCTTTCTCAAGGCTCTCCACATTTTACTTTGTATATCATTCTCTCTCTCTCTTTACCTGGGTTTATTTTATTTGTGACCTGGATCCTCTTTTTTGTCTAAAATGTAAACCTAACATACATTTATCTGGCTTTTCTCTGCTCTATCTGTTGGGCCTAGAATAGTGATTGGCATAGCACCCAATACATGTCGTCTGTGTGGATGGAGTTCTGTAACAGAGTTGTATCTCTTTGCTTTCTTCCAGTGGCTCTCCAGTTCTTACAGCGATGTCTCAGTCATTTGAGCCTCACTTTCACAACTTTTTTTTTTTTTTTTTTTTTAGAGACAGAGTTGTGCTCTGTCATTTAGGCTGGAGTGCAGTGGTGTGATCTCGGCTCACTGCAACCTCCATCTCCTGGGTTCAGGCTATTCTCGTGCCTCAGCCTCCTGAGTAGCTAGAATTACAGGCACACACCTCCATGCCTACCTAATTTTTAGTACAGATGGAGTTTTTGCCACTTTGGCCAGGCTAATCTCGAACTTCTGGCCTTAAGGGATCTCCCCACTTTGGCCTCCCAAAGTGCTGGGATTATAGGCATGAGCCACTGCTACCAGCCTAAAATACATTTATTATTATAAATGGAAAACCAATATCACTTGACATGAATAGAAGTTAATTGCAACCATAGGCCGGGCACGGTGGCTCATGCCTGTAATCCCAGCACTTTGGGAGGCCACAGCGGGCGGATCACCTGAGCTCAGGAGTTTGAGACCAGCCTGGCCAACATGGTGAAACCCTGTCTCTACTAATAAAAAATACAAAAATTAGCCGGGCGTGGTGGTACGTGCCTGTAATCCCGGCTACTCGGGAGTCTGAGGCAGGAGAATCGCTTTAACTCGGGAGGTGGAGGTTGCAGTGAGCCGAGATAGTGCCACTGCACTCCAGCCTGGGCAACAGAGCAAGACTCTGTCTCAAAAAAAAAAGGAAAAAGAAGTTAATAGCAACCATAAACACATAAAACTGTCCTTGCCCACCTAAATGGTCTCGCCTATAATATCTTAGAAAACTGTGGTCTAGGATTAAGTCTAGGCTCTTTACCATAGTAGACAAAAGTCATCCCGAGGGCCATACTTGTGTCTCCTCCTCCTCTGTGTCTCACAGCTCATGGGCCAGCAGCACGTAGCGCAACATCTTGCATCAGCTTTTGTGCACACTGACCCTTCTTCATGGAGTCCATTTCTTTATGCTCTTCACCTCACAGGGCTATTTCCTGTTTCCCTCTGAAACTGCCCCATCTCTCCCTCTTCTGGGAGGTCCCCCTCAAAAGCTCATGAGGTGCACCTCCCACATCTATTCATCCTATTAAGTTGTGGTTATCTGCACAGTGTTTTTTCCCCTCCATGAGTATAATTTGCTGAGTGTATCTTGGACCAGACAGTATTTTGAAAAGTGTTTTTCTCATAAAACTCAAAGAGAAAACATATGTCACACTGAAAGCTGTTTTGGCCTCCAGGTCCCACAGCTCTGGTAGCTACTTCTTCTTTTCCAGGGGTCACTTTTCAGCAGCGACATTTTCCCTGCAACTTTTGCTGATTCCATTAATTTGTTCCTTTGTGAGACAAAATGTCAGTTACAACTGGAAATGTTACCATAAAATTAAAGAGAAGTTGTTCTGTGGTCTCTTGCCCATAACAAGTGATTTTGGAGAATGGTGGCAACGTGGTAGGGAAGAGTGGGTTATTTGGTTTTCTTTTTTACTTGTTAGTTTCTCTCATATTCAGTCTGTTCTCAGATTGTCTTGTTTCAGCATTAATAATTACCTTCAGAGGATTTTGTCTTGTATTACACCCTAAATAACAAATTTGTTTTGTTTATTCAGACTTGTGGTAAGTAGGTTTATATTATATTACTGTATACCTTTTTTTCCTTCAAATTTAACACTGGAATAGCCCAAATAAGTTTTTTAAAAAAGGTTTTCATGAAAGTCACACGCAGCTTGGCTTTCCTGTAGTGGATTCGGTTTGTGTAGAAGGAACAGAGTGAAAACATCACTGGTTTCTGGAATAGGACAGTTTGGGCTAGTATGGCAGTATCAAGTGCTCTGTATTCAGAGAACATATAGCAGGAAATTATGTTTATGTTTGTGAAATAAATCTGTTTTCAACTGTCTGTTCAGAAAAAATTAGTACTAATAACTGGTGGAAAACATTCGACCATACTCAGAAACCTGTCACTCTTGTTTTAGGGTTGGATTGAAGAATATTGGGAAAGCTGGGACACTTTGTTTTAATTGAGAGAAATATTAGAGGGTCCTACCACCAGCTAATAAGTAGGTTTGCGTTTTTTTCATGACCAAGTAATTCCAGAGAAACTCTTCCTTTGAATGATTAGACACTTCACTGTCCTCCTCCTCCTCCCCCACAAAAGTTTTTTGAGCATTTGAGCGGAACAGCTTGCTGAGGGCAGTGCTCTGTGTGCTGAGGAATGTTTATTTCTGTGCACACTGGAGAGTGTGACAATAGATTCACTTCGAATAATTTTTGGTGAAAACAATATGCTCAGAGCAAACTGAAATAAGTGAATAACAAGGCATCTAAAATTATATGGATGGTACTGTGTTTACCTTTAGATGTCAGAACCTTGACAGCTCCCTCGTGTGATAGTGCGTCCTTCCCTGCTCAGCCTCACTTATTCTTCTGTCTAGGAGAGTCTTCTTTCCCCCAGGCAACTCCTGCATATACTGAAATCCGGTGATCCATCTAGGAAAGACTTGTGTTTACTGTTCTTGCTGTCTACTCTGCCCCATGCTAAGGATGTGAGATGAATAAGGATGCCTCCACCAGTGTTTGTGTCTTTAGCAGCTGTTGTACCACTTTGCACACAGTAGGCCCTCAGCCAGTGCTTGTGGAAACCATCCATTTATGGAGCCTCTGCATTTTCTCCTTGTAACTCTTTGTGTTTTTGTGGTGATGCAGAGAATCCACATGGGGTTCTGGTGTGTGTATCTGTTCCGATTTTGAAGATGTGAGCATCTCCCGAGACATGATCTGTTTGTACCTGTGAAATACTTAACCGTCTGTATTTATTTTCTTTTAACAAAGGAGAGTCTGGGCGCGGTGGCTCACACCTGTAATCCCGACACTTTGGGAGGCCGAGGTGGGTGGATCACGAGGTCAGGAGTTGAAGACCAGCGTGGCCAAGATGGTGAAACCCCATCTCTACTAAAAATACAACAATTAGCCAGGCATGGTGGTGGGCACCTGTAATCCCAGCTGCTCGGGAGGCTGAGGCAGAGAATTGCTTGAACCCAGGAGGCAGAGGTTGCAGTCAGCCGAGATCGCACCACTGCTCTCCAGTCTGGGTGACAGAACAAGACTCCTTGTCTCAAAAAACAAACAAACGAAAACAAAACAAAACAGAAAACAAAGGAGCAGAGCTTCTCCTTTTGTTTGTTTTTTTTTTCTTCTGAGACAGACTTTGCTCTTGTTGCCCAGGCTGAGCTCCTGACCTCAGGTGATCCACTTGCTTCAGCCTCCCAGAGTGCTGGGATTATAGATGTGAGCCACTGCGCCCTTGTCTTTTAAACAAAGGCTGCTTCTTTGTCTTTTAAAATAGTGCTGGGAGCCTCTGTTCCTGTTGTTAAAGTTAGTATTGTTTATAGACTGACCATACTCTGTTTTTCATTTTTAAGGATTTTCCAATGGACTCTTTACTGTAATTTATATAATCTCTTATTAGAGTTAATTAGCCCCAGAAATGTTATTGATTTGATAAATCTAATTATTGAGTTTAAAATGGTCTTTGAGTTTTTTTCAGTATATATCATGTATCAAAAATTTTCTATATGGTGATAAAGATGTAAAAGAACAATGTCTACTTCAGTAAACTAATGTTGATCATTGTAATTTTCTTGATTTTGATATTGACTATAAAACATACCTAAAAAAAAGTAAGTGGACAATAGCCTTGCTACTATTTAGGGGATAAACATGGTTTAATCTTTAAACCATGTATTTTAGATTAACCCAAATATATGTGTACATATTAGGCAGTGTAGCAGATGATTAAGAACATGGAATTCTAGGTGTGGTGGCTCACACCTGTAATCCCCATATGTTTGGAGGCCAAGGCTGGAGGATCGCCTGAGCCTAGGAGTTAGAGACCAGCCTGGGCAACAGAGTGAGACCTCGTCTCTACAAATAATTAAAAAATTAGCTGGTTGTGGTGGTGCATACCTGTAGTCCAAGCTCCTCCAGAGGCTGAGGTGGGAGGATCACTTACGTCAGGGAGGTTGAAGGTGCAGTGAGCCACGATCACATCACTGCCCTCCAGCCTGGGCAACAGAGCAAGACTCTGTCTCTAGAAAGAGAAAAAGAAGAACATGGAATCTAGAGCCAGACTGGGAGTGCTGAAATGCTAGCTTGGATGTTATCTCACCTCTCTGAGCCTCAGTTCCCTCTCTGAAAAATGAAAATGATTAATAGGACCTACATCTTTGAATTGCTTTAAAGACTGCATTGATACACATAAAGGGTTTACAGCTGTGCCTGGTATTTACGTAGAAGTGCTGTATATAAGAGTAAGCTATTATTACTACAGAGACAAGGCAAACAGGTTAAGTGACTTGTTTTCCATTGTTTGGTTTCTTGTCTTGTAATATATAAAGATATAGGAACAACAGAAAAATCAAGTTGAAACCTCTCCATGTTACAGAACTGAGTTTTCTGTGCAAAATACATATGGTGGGGAGAAGTCTGCTACAACCATGAAAGGAAGACCATCACTCAGGCTGCTGAAAAGCTGTTAGACACACTGGGTGGGTTTGACTCACCTTTATCACTTATAGCTGCATGTCCTTGGGCAAGTAACCTAACCTCTGAAGTCTACTTGCTCAGCTATAAAATGGGAACAATATGTTTTTTTTCTCATTTGTATGAGAAAAAAATGAAATAACAGTGCTAGCCATACAATAAATATGGAATAAATGTTAAGGTCTTTGTAATTATGAATTCATGCTAATTATAATTCCTGTTTATGTGACTCCTAAATCTTTGATTAGCCACAGGGTGTCACTTTCTTTAATGAAAACAATAAATTAAGATAATTTATTAGCTTATAAATTAAGGTAGTTATTCACATGGAAATTGGCTTCAGAACTCAAACTGTGGTTTCAGAAACAGTTTATTAACAAATGTGCAATAGTAGAATTAAAGTAATTTTGGGAAAAATTTGAAGATATTTAGTGTTAGGATGAGCACTAACTTTGAGATTTACAGATTTGTTCCCTCATTCCTCAAAGTTTATTCTGTACCTGCTAAGTCTAAGTGCAGGATGTAAAGATTAAGACCAAGTGTCTAGCCCCCAGGAAGTTCACAGTGCAGCTGGAAGACAGTCAATAGTGACAATACTATGAATTGACCCCTGGGGTTTGCTTGGGCTGATACTGGGTTCCAGTGGAGGCCTGCCAGAAGTGAACAGTGCCTAGAGGTAATGCATTGGACATCCTTCAGTCACTTGTCAGTAAACCTGTGGAATTCTGTGCATCTGTCTTGTGAATATACAAGTATCTTGCAAAAGATCTCACTTGGCTACTGAAACCCCAGAGCAGTGGTTATTATAGTAAAACTAAAAGAGGGCGGGAGAGAGGAACAGAAGGAGGGAAAATTCTTCATGGATCTGTGATTTACAATCTTTAAAGAGATTAATGTGAGGTTTAATGTGACAGGTGATATACTTGTTCAGTCTTTTAATTGAGATTGACAGTTCTTTGAATGAACTTGAACTGTGACAGCCAAAATCTTTTCTTTTATGTATAGGCAGTTAAAAGCTTTATTTTCCCTTTTTGTTATGAGAGTTTCTAAATATGTACAATAGAGAGAATAAGTAGTACGATGAACCTCCATGTCCCCATCACCCAGATTCAGCAATCAACAAATGGCCAGTGGAAGGTCTTCTGGACCTCTGCCTGTGCCCTTTCCACCTCGATATTTTAAAGCTGATTCCATATGCCATGTCATTTCCTCTGTAAGTATCTCATGTATACCTCTAACAAAATAAGACTGTTTTAAACATAGCCAGAATACCATTATTATTCTTAAAAATAACATAATTTCTTAATGCCATTAAGATAGATATTTTAATGTCAGGTTTGTTAGATTAATGAGTGAAATAGATGTTAAACCATATGTTATATTTCTGTAATACCTAGTTTACTAATTTTTTATTTTCTAAGTATGTGGTTTTGAATTGGTCTTTATTTTCCTGTTGTCTAGTTAGCATACCACCTTAGTTTACATTCAAATATTATTCAAATATTATTTTTTATCAAAAACTTTTACCCCCTTTAAGTGAAAATTTACAAAAAGCTGTGAGTATAATTAGCTTATTTTTAAGCACTCCCAGGAAGAACAGAGTACTGTAAACAAAAATTATCGGAAAAGAAATTTGAAGGAAAGTGACTTTATTGCAGTGAACAGTTTGCAGTACAGGGAGACACAGCCTTTGGTGTAAAACGAAGGTGGGGTTTGGGTTTTATAACAAAAGTTTCACCCTGGTTCCCAGCCAGGTTTATTTATGCAAATGCAGGATTCAAACTTGCTTAGTTCCAGCTGGTTGATATAGCTGAGTTCTGATGGGTTCGTTCAGGTGACCTCTGAAAGTTTCAAAGTTGAACAGAGGTGTGGGCTTTTGGAGAACTCAGAGTACATGTGTGACTGCTAGTCAGGAAACGGCCACTTGGCTGTGTATTAAATTGAAAAGATTCTTGCCCTCAAGAAGCTGGCAGTCTACAAGGAAGAAACAGAAAAACAGTAAGATAGTTGCTTTAATGAGAATATATACCTATGCATTTTGGAACAGAAATGAGTCTCTCAGTCCTCTTGGGAGTGTTGGGAAAGGTGCTTTGATGAGTGTGGGTAAATGGTCTTTTTTTTTTTTCTGTAAACCTTAACAAAAAGTAAATCATAGAATTTGGTGTTGATTGTCCACTGTATGCCAGGCACTCTGCTGGTTAGCAGGTCTACCCCTGTATAGTAGGCATACATTTTAACATGTGTACAGACACACATAGATGTATGTACACACAGGTATACATACGCATGCACATATACAGAGAAGGGGTGAGAGGGAGGGAGAAGGGAAGAGTGAGGTGGGCGGACACCTTCATGGAGTTTTGTCTAGTGAGAAGAGGGAGTTTACAAGCAATAATCAGCATTATTACAGGGACATAATTTACCAAGGAGTATAGAAAGGGCAGGGACTACCTGACGTGGTGACTATTAAGTCTGAGACTAAAGGACAAAAAGGAGAGAACCAATATGAGTAACGAGTGGGCACGAAATTTCTATGCAGAAGAAACTATGTGTTCAGAGGTTCTCAGGAAGTACAGAGCTTGGCAGGTGTGAGAAAACTGAAAGAAGGCCTCTGTGGCTGGAATGTGGCGAGACTGGAGAAGTTAGCAGAAGCCGGTGTGACCCTAACAGGTCTGTTGCTTAAGGCCTGGCATGTCACTACACTGACACCAAGGCTTTCCGTGGAGAAGGAGTTTAGTAATTATAGAGCAGCTGAAAGAGGAGATGGGAGGAAACCGCACATCGCCTCCCTGAGGAGTTTGGGTCTAGAGATTTTAAGGGGTTTGGAGTGGGCTGATGTCTGGGGATCATTGATTGGTTGAAGAGTGCAGGGTGAGGTCATAGGACGGGAGATAGAACTGCATTCTCACGCTGATTTCGTTCCTGTCGGGGCGGGCGGGGGGGGGTCTTAACTGGCTGACTTCAGCTGTACCACTGTAATTCAGGGTCTGAAGCACATCTTAAGCAATTCTTTAAAAAGTTTATGATTCTAATGTCAGCGATCCTGTCTATAGGAACAGTGGGGATGCAAATGATTCTTAAACAAAAACGTTATGATTCTAAGGTCAGATATCCTATCTAGAGGAACAGTGGGGAGGCAGATGGTCAGTGTCTAGTGCTATATGACTTTTGGTTACAAGGAAGTGGGTCAAAGTGCAGCCTGATTACAGTTTAATTATAACTATATTTCTGCCCAGAACTTGGCATGTAATTCTTGTTAGCCTGTGAGGATGGTTTCACCAGATCTCAAAGGGCTTTGTAAGGGGAAAAAAGTACAGTTGACTCTTGAACAACACAGGGGTTGAGGGGACTGACCCCATTCCCAAAGGCAAATGGAAATCCTTGTATAACTTTTGACTCCCCAAAAACTTAACTACTAATAGCCTACTATTGAGCGGAAGCCTGACCAATAACATAAACAGTTGATTAACATGTATTTGGTATGTCATAAGTATAATATGCTATATTCTCACAATAAAGCAAGCTAGAGAAAATAAAATGTAACTAAGAAAATTATAAGGACAAAAAAATATTATTTACTATTCATTAAGTGGAAGTGGACCATTATGAAGATCTTCGTCCTCATTGTTTTCACATAGAGTAAGAGGAGGAGGAGTTGGTCTTGCTGACTCAGGGGTGGCAAAGGTAGAGGAGGTGGAAGGAGAGGCAGGCACACTTGGTATAACTTTTATTGAAAAAAAAAATTCGTGTATAAATGGACCTGTCCAGTTCAAATCCATGTTGTTCAAGGGTCAATGGTAGTATCTTTTTGTTTTCCATGACAAAGTTTGTGTCCGAGACTTCTAAAACAAAAGCAGATTAACAAAAGAAAAGCACACACATTTATTTAATATAAGTTTTACATGACATGGGAGCCTTCAGAAATGAAGATACAAAGAAACAGGGACACCTATGTATTTTTATGTTAACTTTGATGAATAGTGGAGATGCATGGAGAAATATGATTGGAGGACGAAAGGATATCTCTAAAATTCTCTCAGTAATAAATGGGAGTTGGGGGAACTTAGGAAGACCTGTTTGTTCAGATTCTTTTCTTCAGGGATAGGAACATTCCTTTATTCCAGGTATACAGAAGATACCTCTCTGAAGAGGATCTTGGACCTACTTTAGGGGAAAGTTAGAGAATTATTTTATGGACTATTTCAGAGGGAAAGGGCAGAGAAGGTGAGAGTGGCCTTCCTGATTCTGCTGTTTTCTCAAATGCCAAGGTGTACCATATTTTGGGGCAGCATGTCCTGAACCCCATCAAGGGCTTAATGATAATATTATACATATATTATCATTAATCCGCATAGCAACTCGTAATGTTCTTGTTCCTATTTTACTGAATTGGAGAGATTTTAAGTAACTTTCCAAAATTACCCAGCTAGTAAGTGGTGAAGCAGGAGTTTTAACATTATTGTTTTGTCGGTGAAATAATCCAACTCCATAAAATATTTTAAGAGGTTTATTCTGAGCCAAATATGAGTGACCGTGGCCTGAAACATAGTCTCAAAAGGTCCTGAGGACATGTGCCCAAAGTGGTTGGCTTACAGCTTGATTTTATACATTTTAGGGAAATATAAGCATCAATCAATACATGTGAGGTGTACATTGGTTTGATCCAGAAAGATGGGACAATGTGAAGCGAGGGGGCTTACAGGTCATACGTGAATTGTACGATTTTCTGGTTGGCAATTGGTTGAAGGAGTTATCATCTAAAGGAGTATCTGGGTTAAGATAAAGGGTTGTGGAGACCAAGGTTTGTTTGTTTGTTTGTTTGTTTGTTTGTTTGTTTGTTTCCCGAGAGACAGAATCTGGCTGTGTCACCCAGGCTAAAGTGCAGTGGTGCAATCATAGCTCACTGTAGCCTCAAACTCCTAGGCTTAAGCAATCCTCCCACCTCAGCCTCCTGAGTAGCTGGGGCTATAGGTATTTGCCACCATGCCCATCTAATTTTTTTTTTTTTAAGAGACAGGATCTCACTGTGTTGCCCAGGCTTGTTTTGAACTCCTGGCCTCAAGCAATCCTCTGGCCTAAGCCTCCCAAAGTGTTGAGATTACAGGCATGAGCCCCTGCACTCAGCCCACTCAGCCTAAGATTCTTAGTGTTTAGATGAAGACTCATAGGTGGCTACGCTAAAGATGACAATAGATGGCAAATGTTTCCATTTAGACCTTTAAAAGGTGCTATACTCTCAGTTAAACTCTTCAGGATTGGGAGGGTCTGGAAGGGGAAAGACCTAGTTATGTTAATAGGGATTCATTCAGGCTGGGCATAATGGCTCACGCCTGTAAACTCAGCACTTTGGGAGGCTGAGGCCGGCGAATCACCTGAGGTCAGGAGTTCAACACCAGCCTGGCCAACTGGCGAAACCCCGTCTGTACAAAAGTTAGCCAGGCAGGATGGTGGGTGCCTATAATCCCAGCTACTCAGGAGGCTGAGGCAGGGGAATTGCTTGAATCCAGGAGGCATAGGTTGCAGTGAGTCAAGATCATGCCACTGCACTCAATCCTGAACGATAGAGAGAGACGGTCTCAAAAAAAAAAAAAAAAAAAGGAGATTCATTCCAGATGCAGATTTTCCCCCACAAAAGGTAGCTTTGCAGGGTCATTTCAAAATATGCCAAAGAAACATATTTTGGGATAAAATATTTTATTTCCTTCTTTATCTGTCATGTGAGGTTATGCTAGAGTCAGGTTGGAGTGGTATCTTATTGCTGCAAAGAGTTTGTTCTGTCTGTCTTAGGATCTGTGTTTTAAAGTTAGTGCTGGTCAGCCTGTCTAAACTCCAGAATGAAGAAGGTATGATGAGGCATGCCTGACCCCCTCTTCCCATGGTGGCCTAAACTGGCCTTTCAGGTTTCTTTGGAATCCCCTTGGTTGAGAAGGTGGATCCATTCAATCATTTGGGGGGCTTAGAATTTTTTTTTTTTTTTTTTTTTTGAGACGGAGTCTCGCTCTGTCGCCCAGGCTGGAGTGCAGTGGCGGGATCTCGGCTCACTGCAAGCTCCGCCTCCCGGGTTCACGCCATTCTCCTGCCTCAGCCTCCCAAGTAGCTGGGACTACAGGCGCCCGCCACTACGCCCGGCTAATTTTTTTGTATTTTTAGTAGAGACGGGGTTTCACCGTTTTAGCCGGGATGGTCTCGATCTCTTGACCTCGTGATCCGCCCGCCTCGGCCTCCCAAAGTGCTGGGATTACAGGCGTGAAGAATTTTATGTTTGTTTTTCAGTCTTGGCTTTAGAGCCTGTGATCTTTCTACTGCATGAGGCTGCCTCTTAGTAAAGAAGCAAAATGCTTGCAGAGTACTCTGTATTTCTCCTCTGAATGTTTAATATGCTGAACACTTCACAATAAGTGCTAACACGAACTACATGGTCACATGAGATTTTTGTTTTCAAACAGTTTTATTGAGGTATAATCTACAAGCCATAAATTTTCCCATTCTAAGTGTACCATTCAGTGATTTTTAGGAAATTTAAGGAGTTGTGCTCTCATCACCATAATCCAGTTTTAGAATATTTCATCACCCCAAAAAGATTCCTTTCTGCCTAGTTTCAGTCAATCCCAGCTCCCAACCCCAGCCCCAGATAAGCATAACCAGCTTTGTCTCTATAGATTTGCCTTTTCTAGACATTTCATATAAATGTCCAGAATCCTATGTTACGTATAGTCTTTTGTATTTGGCTTCTTTCACTTAGCATAATATTTTCTAGGTTCATCCATATTATAGACTATATCAGTACTTCATTGTTTTTTATTTCTGGTGGTACCCATCGTATGGATATATTACATTTTATTTATCCATTCCCCAGTTAATGGACATTTGGATTGTTTTCAGTTTGGGGCTATTTAAAAAAGTACTACTGTAAACATTCCTGTGCAAGCCTTTGTGTGCACATGTTTTCATCCTCTTGCGTAGATTCCTAGGAGAGGAATTGCTGGATTCTATGATAAGTTTATGTTTAACTTTTCAAAGAAATTGACAAACCATTTTCCAGAGTGACTTTTTACAATTTTACATTCCCTCCAGCAATGTATTAGGGTTTCAGTTTCTCCTCATCCTTGCCTACACTTATTGTTTGTCTATTTTAATACAGCCATTGTAGTAGATGTGATGTGGTATCCCATGTAATTTTGTCTTTTTATTTTCCTGAGACAGGGTCTTGCTCTGTCACGGCTACAGTGCAGTGGTGCCATCTCTGCTCACTGAAGCCTTAAGCTCCTGAGCTCAAGTGATCCCCCGACCTCAGCCTCCTGAGTAGCTAGGACTACAGGAACACACAACCATGCCCAGCTAATTTTGTTTACTTGGGTGTCTCACTATATTGCCTAGGCTGGTCTCAAACTCTTGGGGTCAAGAGAGCCGCCCATCATGGCCTACCAAAGTGCTGGGATTACAGGCATGAGCCACTTTGCCCAGCCATGTGATTTTGATTTGTACTTCTGTGATAACTAATGATGTTGAGCATCTGTTTTAATGTGTTTATTAGCCATTTGTGTATCTTCTTTGGTAAAATGACTATTAAAATATTTTGCCTATTTCTTAGGCTGGGCACGGTGGGCTTATGCCTGTAATCCCAGCACTTTGGGAGTCTGAGGCGGAAAGATCACCTGAGGTCAGGAGTTCGATACCAGCCTGGCCAACATGGTAAAACCCTGTCTCTACTAAAAATACAAAAATTAGCCAGGAGAGGTAGTACACGCCTGTAAACCCAGCTACTTGGGAGGCTGAGGCATGAGAATCGCTTGGACCCAGGAGGCAGAGGCTGCAGTGAGTAGAGATTGTGCCACTGTACTTTAGCCTGGGCAATAGAGTGAGACCTTGTCTCAAAAAAATCAAAAAAAAAGAAAGGAAAAATTTTTTTTGTCTGCTTCTTAATTGGTTTGTCTTATTATTGAGTTGAGTTTTTTAAAATTTATTTTGTGTAAGTTCTTTATCAGATATACGATTTACAGTATTTTCTCCCAACTTGTGCATTTTCATTTTCTCAGTAATATATTTTGAAGGGCAAAAGTGTAACAGTAGTAGGTTCCTTGCCCGATGCACATGGCAAGTCAATATACCGAGCCACCGAGTTACAGCAGAAAAAGGTTTACTTGTGGAGCCGCTAAATGAGGAGATGGGAGGAAACCTCAAAGGGGTCTCCCTGAGGAGTTTGGGGCTAGAGTTCTTTTTTTTTTTTTTTTTTCCGAGACCAAGTTGCCCAGGCTGGAGTACGGTGGCATGACCTCAGCTTACTGCAACCTCCACCTCCCAAGTTCAAGTGATTCTCCTGCCCCAGCCTCCCGAGTAGCTGGGATTACAGGCATGTGCCACCACACCTGGCTAATTTTTGTATTTTTAGTAGAGACAGGGTTTCACCATGTTGGTCAGGCTGGTCTCGAACTCCTGACTTCAGGTGTTCCACCGCGGGAACCTCGGCCCAGCCTCAGCCTCTCAAAGTGCTGGGATTGTAGGTGTGAGCCACTGCGCCCAGCTGGGGCTAGGATTCTTAAAGGTTTTGGAGTGGACCGAGTGTAGGGATCATTGATTAGTCAAAGAGTGCAGAGTGAAGTCATGGGACAGAGAGATGAAGAAACTGTATTTTCATGCTGATTTGGCTCTTCTGTGGGGATCTTCAAGCTGGTTGGCTTCAGCTTTTCCACTGTAATTCAGGATTTGCTTAAGGAATTCTTAAACAAAAGCCTTATGATTCTAACATCAGAGATCCTGTCTATAGGAACAATGGGTATACAGATGGTCAGTATCTAACGTTATGTGGCATTAGGTTATAAGGAAGTGGCTTAAGATGCAGCCTAATTAATGTTTAATTATAACTATGTTTATGTCCAGAATTCTTGTTAACCCTGTGAAGATGGCTTTAAAAGTTTTTAATTTTGATGAAGTCCATTTTATTATTTTCTTTTTTTATGAGTTATGCTTTTGCTGTCATATTCAGGAACCCTTTGCCTAACCTGAGGCCATGAAGATTTTCTCCTGTTTTCTTCAGGAGTTTCAAATGAGGTATTGTGATAGGTTGGGTTTCACTTTATTAGGAAGGTCATAAAATTCTTCTGTGAGGAAGTGGTACTTTAGCTGAGATCTGAAAGCTGAGTAGGAGGTAAGATGGGAGGGAAGAGATTCCAGCTAGAGGGAAGAGCATGTGTAGGTGGGATATGGCCAGTCTGAAGAGCTAGAAGCAGGTCGTGAAGGCTGCAGTGCAGTGCATCTTCTGGTTCTCAGTGAAACTCATTTATGCCATGTGAAGCAATCTTGCTACAGCAGTAGTCTCAGGGAAGGCTTTTAATGAGCAATGGAAACATGATCAGATTTGCTTTCTAGAAAAATTACTCTGGCTGCTGTGTGGAAGAGGCTTGGAAGGTGGCCAGTATGGATTTGGAGTGACCAGGTAGGAGGCTGTTGGCCAGTTAGTGAGAAACGATGGCAGCTTGGACCCAGGAGAATTACGCAGATTAAGAGTATTAGGGACATATGAGAGTCTGCCTGCCTTTAATACTGCATGGTCAGAGATTATGGCCTGCATAATTTAGGAGATTGTAATAAGGGTGATTATGCTAGTTTCTATGGCTTCTACTCCATTCCCCGGCACACTTCTCTTTTTTGTTCTGCTCATTGAGTTTTCCTTACCAGAAAAAGATAGTCTTAATAGCCTAGACACAGCAATTTAAATATTTTCATTGCTTTCCTCCTCTTCCATAAGACTTTGGGAAAAAATGGAAAGCAACTTATCCATACATCCATTTGGGATTTCTAAGCTAATGGTGAGAAGTGTCTTGCTCAGAAAACTAAAACATTTATTATGTTTACTAAGTGTTTCCATTCTGTGCATGTGATACCTATGAACATATTTTCTTTTTATAAATTTTCTGAAGTATACAGAAAGTCAAAGGTTTCTCAATTTAGATTATAGAGAAACAGATAAGTAAATGCTGCTATAAATTATGAAAAAAACACAACATGATATTGTTACCAGAAAGGGGTCCTGATCCAGACCCCAAGAGAGGGTACTTGGATCTTGTGCAAGAAAGAATTCAAGGCAAGTTCACAGAGTAAAGTGAACCCAAGTTTATTAGAGAAGTAAATAAACAAAGAATGGCTACACCATAGACATAGCAGCCCCGAGGACTGCTGGTTGGCTGTTTTTATGGTCATTTCTTGATCATATGCTAAACAAGGGGTGGATTATTCATGAGTTTTCCAGGAAAGGGGTTGGGATTTCCTGGAACTGATGCATCCTCCCTTTTCCAGACCATACAGAGTAACTTCTGAACATAGTCCTGGCATTTGTAAACTGTCATGGGACTGCTGGGAGTGTCTTTTAGCATGCTAATGCTTTACAATAAATGTATAATAAGCAGTGAGGATGACCAGAGGTCCCTTCCATCACCATTCTGGTTTTGATGGGTTTTGACTGGCTTCTTTACTGCATCCTATTTTATCAACAGGGTCTTCATGACCTGTATCTTCTGATACCAGTTCTGCTAACCTCCTATCTCATCCTATGACTAAGAATGCCTAACCTCCTGAGAATTCAGCCCAGCAGGTCATTTTACCCAGCCCCTATTCAAGATGGAGTTGCTGTGGTTCAAATACCTCTGACTTATTTTCTCCTTCCCTTTTACAAGGAAATTTTAATTCTAAGGGTTGTAGAGGGAGGAAGATCCATCTTCTCTTCCTTAGGCTGAATGGGGTGATGATATTCCCGCCCAACTATTAGCATCTCTTGTATTCACGGTAGAGAGATGCTTGGTCAGAAAGCATCCATATGGTGAGGGCCATTCATAACTCTTGAGTTCTGACCAAAGGTGATATTTGGAAGACTAATAAGTGTTCAATTTAATAAAATATTGAGTTAACTTATTCTGCATTCTTACACAAAGAGCACAATGACAGTATATTCCACAAGAGTAAAGCAAAATAAGTAAAATTATCTCAAGTAAACTAAATAAGAAGGCTTTCCATGAACTGGGCAATTGTTGGAACTAAGCAGACTTGGAGTGGCTGATTCTAATATGTGCCTAGAATTACAATATTGATCCAGATTTTTACATTACCTATCCCTCTTGTTTCTTCTGAGCTTGCATCCAGAGGTCACTGGTTGGTTCACAGGAATAAGCTGGGTCAGTCTAAATTGCAGGGAAAAACTCAAAAACAACAGACAAGGCTAGGTTCTAGTAACAGGTGTACTATAGTTATTGAAACATAGTTTTTCTCTCTCCAGTCTCCCATTTTTACTAAAGACAAAGCATGATAGGCTTGATTTGTTTGCAAAATAAACTTTAGTCTTATTATACCTGGCCTGATTATTTGTATAAAGTGCAGCAAGAATAATTTTTGCTGTATAGGCTCTTTTTAAGTTGGCTTTGATGGAACTTTCTTCCGTAAGGAATCTTAGAGTAGACTTCTTATTAAAGGTTTGAGCCCAGCCAGGGGTTTGTGCTTGCAAATACCTGTGTGAGTTGGATAAATTGTTTCCTTCTTTCAGGGTCCCAAGATAACCTGGGCCTCCTGAGCCTGTCAGAAAGTGACATTCTTTACTTACCACAGGTCAAGAACCCTATGCAGGGACTGTGTAGACAAGGCATGAGGCCAGTTTTCCCAAGGAGCTTTTATTGGCTCTGTAAGTCAACTTTGATTCCTTAAAGAAGCCTGTTTATATTTGAAAGCATGCCATTTCAGTCAAAGCCTTGGTAAAATAACCAGTTTCTCCAACTGGGCCCTGTTACAAAAGAAAACAGATTCTTACTGTACTTATGCAAATAATTATATTGCCATAAATTACAAATACAAATAATTTCCAAATTCTGGAGAAATCAGATAGAGAGAAAGAAATATGCTTCAAATTTTGTTTACAGGAGTACACTTTACCCAATTGGTGCAAAAGTAGTTGCAATTTCAGACCATGAATTTTAAATCGTTATAACTAGGCTCAAACACTTTTTTTTTTTTTGAGACAGTCTCGCTCCGTTGCCCAGGCTGGAGTGCAGTGACATGATCTCGGCTCACTGCAAGCTCCACTTCCTGGGTTCACGCCATTCTCCTGCCTTAGCCTCCCGAGTAGCTGGGACTACAGGTGCCTGCTACCATGCCCAGCTAATTTTTTGTATTTTTAGTAGAGATGGGGTTCCCCCTGTTAGCCAGGATGGTCTTGATATCCTGACCATGTGATCCGCCTGCCTCAGCCTCCCAAAGTGCTGGGATTACAGGTGTGAGCCACTGCGCCTGGCCCCACATTTTTATTAATCAAAATAGTAACCGTTACAATCAACACAGTTTGGACAATGAGAAATAAGTTTATTCCTGTAGCATAAAAATCCATGCTTTGGGATTTGACAAACTTTTGGGAAACATTTTCTGCATCCTCCTGGTTGTGGGAGTGTTTTCCCTGCAAAAAAGTTGTCAAGATGCTTGAAGAAGTAGTAGTCAGTTGGCGAGAGGTCAAGTGAATATGGCAGATGAGGCAAAACTCTGTAGCCCAATTCATTCAACTTTTGAGGCATTGTGTGATGTGTAGTTGGGCGTTGTCATGGAGAAGAATTGGGCCGTTTCTACTGACCAATGCCAGCTGCTGGTGTTGCAGTTTTCTGGGCATCTCATTGATTTGCTGAGTATACTTCTCATATATAATGGTTATGCTGGGATTCAGAAACCTATAGTGCATCACACCAGCAGCAGACCACCAAACAGTGACCGTGAGCTCTTTTTTGGTGCACATTTGGCTTTGGGAAGTGCTTTGAAGCTTCTTCTCAGTCTAGCCAATGAACTGGTTGTCACCGGTTGTTGCATAAAATCTACTTTTCATCACACATCACAGTCTGATTGAGAAATGGTTTGTTGTTGTTGTGTAGGATAAAACAAGATGACACTTCAAAATGACAATTTTTTTGATTTTCACTCAGCTCATAAGGCACCCACTTACCATGCTTTTTTACCCTTCCAATTTGCTTCAAATGCTGAATGACCACAGAATGGTTGATGTTGAGCTCTTTGGCAACTTCTCGTGTAGTTGTAAGAGGATCAGCCTTGACGATCGCTTTCAACTGGTCGTTGTCAACTTCTGATGGCTGGCCACCGTGCTCCTCATCTTCAAGGCTCTTGTCTCCTTTGCAAAACTTCTTGAACCACCATTGCACTGTCAGTTCATTAGCAGTTCCTGCGCCAAATGCATTGTGGATGTTGCGAGTTGTCTCCACTGCTTTATGACCCATTTCGAACTTTGATACGAAAATCGCTCAAATTTGCTTTTTGTCTAATGTCATTTCCGTAGTCTAAAATAAAGATAAACAGCAAGTAGTAAGTCATTAGCAAAAACACATAAAGTGAGAAATGCCCATTAAAATGACCTATAACATAACGACATTTATTTAAGAATGTACTGCAATATCAAACAGCAAATTCCAGCAGTGCAAAACAGAAATTACTTTTGCATCAACCTAATAAAAACTGTAAATAGCTCAAAAGAAAAGTTTTCTTGACTCTGAAAAACAAAACAGAAAGGATGGGCAACATTTTAAGTAGAAAGTCATAAACAGATTATTTCAGTGTTTTATTCAGTTTATGCAATTCCCATTTTGCTCAATATTTATGAATACATTAGTTTTTCAAGAGAGTGTTGGAAGTTCTTTCCTATTTTATTGGCATACTTTTCAAAGTTATCAGAGACCTGCATTTAAGAGTACTCATCAGAGGCCGGGCATGTTGGCTCATACCTGTAATCCCAGCACTTTGGGAGGCTTAGGCGGGTGGATCACCTGAGGTCAGGAGTTCAAGACCAGTCTGGCCAACATGCTGAAACCCCATCTCTACTAAAAATACAAAAATTAGCTGAGTGTGGTGGCACGTGCCTATAGTCCCAGATACTTGGGAGGCTGAGGCAGGAGAATCACTTGAACCTGGGAGGCAGAGGTTGCAGTGAGCTGAGATTGTGCCACTGCACTCCAGCCTGGCGACAGAGACTCCGTCTCAAAAAAAAAAAAAAAAGAGTACTCATCAGAATCTTATAGTTGATTATAAACCATCCTTTGAAGAGGATCAAAACAAGACAATTGTGGATGACAAAATGTCTTTGGGCAGCCATAATCAAAGATGCAATTGACAAGGAAATTTGGTTGCTTCTGTGGTATACAATAATTTAACATAATATAATTACTGATAACGTACACTAAGTCATATCAAAATTATAGGTGTTTCCAGTATTTTTGGAACACATACCAATAATATATTTATATAGATACAACCCAAAGAAAGCCAAACACAACTTCATATTTAACAATGCTTCCTGTATGATTTTAATATACCAAATAAGCCAAATATATCATTTTTTACTTTAGGGGACTGATATCTAAAAGATTAATTAAGAAAAAGACATGATTTATAATTTTACTTTGGAAAGTTTGTCAAATATCAAAGGTTTAAAACATTTGATATTATAAAATAGAATCCTAGGTCACAATAAGTCATTTAGCCAAAATGATAAAGATTTTAAAAAGACAAAAACCTTTACCTGTTAATACAGGAGAACTTAGCTTTCCAAACAATCTCTTTTTTCCTGCCTCTTTTTTGTAGCTTAGGCAAACAAAAATCTTTCATTGTCTTTTAATATTACATGAAATTCTTCTTCATGGGCCAGATTTCACCTTTGTATTTGTGTACTATGAATGTTAAACCCAATTCTTAGTAAAACCCTTAGATAAATTTGTCCAGTCTTAATCAGTTTGACCATAAGGTAGGATTCCTGTAAACCTTTTATAAACTGTTAAAATTTTCTGTTAAATAAAAGATTAATATTCTAAGAAAACCCTGCAGTGCTTTTATTTCAATATTCAATTTATGTAAAAACTGAATATTACCCCTTTAACTTTAGCCAATGTGTTTACACACAGAATTTCTTTTACAAGATTAGTCTTTCACAAACCTTTCACAATTTGCTCAAACCTTCAGCTTTATCATATCTAACTTAAAACAATCCTTTAACCTTTTAAACCAGGCAAAAAAAAAAAAAAAAAAATTCCCACCCCCATGCCTTCTTATAGTATTTTACCAAAAACACATTCTACTTTTAACACACCTTACATGTAAAACTGTTTAGCCAGTAGTCTCAGTTACGTATGTTATGGTATTAACTCTTAGCAACTTTTATTTTTGGTAAAAATCCTGGTAGGTACCAGGTGTGAAGCCTAGGACACCAGACAGAAGTGCAGACAAGGTATGATGCTTTCCAGCATACCCAAGGGGCATGGCCAACTCCACAGGTCCCCAGGCCTTATCTAGAATCTAATGGCTCCAAAGCAGTCAAGCTGAACAATTTTCAAGTCAAAGAAGCAGTTTATGACCTTAAAGCATTTAATCCATTCAAAGTGGGATGGAATGACCTCTGACCAGGAGTTTCAACATGTGGTCCCTGGGCAGGATGGAAGAGAGGACAGTTGCCCTGAGTGACAGAAAAGATAGGAAAGGAAAAAGGGTGCAAGAGAGAGAGAGAAGGGAAGGGAAGGAGGGAAGGGAAAATAGCATTGCCTGAAATGGGGCTGGGCAGGCGAGGAGCTCAGGGAGGCCAGGGAAAGACCCACCCAGTGCGGTGACACTGAATCAAAAGTTCAGGTGGCTGCTTGTCAGCCACAAAGGGATCTTGATCTCCAGCATCTTCATGAGCTCTTAAGTTTCTCCTTTGAGAAGAAAAGTCTCCCCATGTCCCATGTGCTTCTGTACATGCCCAATTCTGTCACCCACAGCCAACAGCAAAGAGCACAAGGCAAGTTAATCCAAAGACTTTTAGGCCAGGTGCAGTGGCTCATGCCTGTAATCCCAGCACTTTGGGAGGTCGAGGCAGGCAGATCACGAGGTCAGGAGTTCAATACCAGCCTGGCCAACATGGTGAAACCCCGTCTCTACTAAAAATACAAAAATTAGCTGGGCTTGGTGGCGCATGGCTGTAATCCCAGCTACTCAGGAGGCTGGGGCAGGAGAATCTCTTGAACCTAGGAGGTGGAGGTTGCAGTGAGCTGAGACTGTGCCACTGCACTCCAGCCTGGGCAACAAGAGCAAAACTCCGTCTCAAAAAAAAAAAAAAAGATTTTTTAACTCCCTATTTCTTAGGAGGGACTCTAACCCTGCTAAATTGGGCATTTTAACCCGGGGATTAACCCAAAGACCTTTAACTGCCTGTTTCTTAGGAGGGATTCTAACCCTGCTAAGTTGGGCCTCTAACCCAATTCTGTTCTTTACCCTGGACAAAATACTACTTACGCAAAGTTGGCCAATTAGTGCTGCAGTCTATTCTTTTGGGTCGGGGTTTCTCCAGTGTTGTCCCTTGGTGGTTTGCCAGGAAGATGTTACTGGAAATGGGTCCCAATCCAGACCCCAAGAGAGGGTTCTTGGATCTTGTTCAAGAATGAAGGCAAATTCAGAGTAAAGTGAATGCAAGTTTATTACAGGAGAAACAAAAGCTACTCCATAGAGCAGCCCCAAGGGCTACTGGTTGGTTATTTTTATGGTTATTTCTTGGTCATATGCTAAACAAGGGGTAGACTATTTATGAGTTTTTTGGGAAAGGGGTGGGGATTCCTGGAACTGAGGGTTCTTCCCCTTTTTAGACCATGTAGAGTAACTTCTGGACATAGCCATAGCATTTGTAAACTGTCATAGCATTGGTGGGAGTATCTTTTAGCATGCTAATGCATTGTAACTAGTGTATAATGAGCAGTGAGGACAACCAGAGGTCACTTTCATCCCCATCTTGGATTTGGTGGGTTTTGGCAGGCTTCTTTACTACATCCTGTTTTATCAGCAGGGTCTTTATTACCTGTATCTTGTGATAACAGTCCTGCTGACTTCCTATCTCATCCTGTGACTAAGAATGCCTAACCATCCTTGGAATGCAGCCCAGGAGGCCTGAGCCTCCTTTTACCCAGCCTCTATTCAAGACGGAGTTGCTCTGGTTCTAATGCCTTTGACAATATTGCTGGATCATTTTAGATTCTTAACATCCTAAATGGTAAATATAGGACCTTTTGACCATCAACATTAAGAGATTCCAGCAAAGAGGAAAGTGTTTTATCTTGTGTGCGTATTTATGTAGGGGAGTGAGAAATAAAATCCTAAGCCCCGTAACTGACTGAACAGATCTCCTCTTAGCCAAGGGGACCCAGAGTAACCTTGAAAACTGAGTTCACAGCCATGATGGGATAGGAGGTCAGACATGCCTCTCATATGCCCCCCTCCCTGGCTAACCATGATTAGGCTTTCTCACCCAAGGGCTAAGGAGCAAACAGCCCTTTCAAAAGACTCCACCGCTGATTTCAACCAACCACCAGACACTGCTTCTCCCTTTTGCGGTTTTCGCATAACTGACCAGCATTTTTTCCCATAAGAGACCACCGACCACGGAATGGTTCGGGCCAGTCTACAGAGACTGCACAGCAAGGGTTTTCTGGTCTTCTTCACCTTTTGACATCAGAGGGCAGCAATCCACCCTTGGATCTTGCTAATGCCACCATTTTTTTGTACATCAGTCCCATGAAGGAGCATGAAGCTCCGTTGCATGTGTGCACCTTTCTCCTTTCATAAATATTCATGACTCCTCCTACAGTTTATTGAATATGTACATGTGGCCACCCTGCTTAGCATCAATTTCTGTTCCCTCTGCCCCTCCCTCAAAGTGTTTGTGTCTGGCTTCTGGCCTGAGGCTGTGCTTCCCTGCTTGTCAGGATGGCCACCCTACAGGCTGCAACCCTTCATGAGAAATAAAGCTCTTCTTTCCAGATTTATGAACCTCATTCTTCAGTTGACAGGAGGAAAAATATCTTTCCCTCACCCATCCTAGGTTCATGGTTAAGACCCCTATAACAAAAGACAGATTAATAAGAAAAAAGCCACTGGGCATAGTGGTATGCACCTGTAATTCCAGCTACTTGGGAGGCAGGGGCTGGAGGATCACTTGAGCCCAAGAGTTCAAGACCACCCTAGGCAACATAGTGAGACTCTATCTCAAATAATAAGAAGAAGAAGAAAAAGAAGAAAAAAGCATACAAATTTAATATAAGTTTTATGTGACATGGGAGCCTTCAGAAATGAAGACCCAAAGCGACAGAAACTTGATGTATTTGCATGCTAGGCTTGATGAAGAGTGGACAGCTGTGTAGAAATATGACTGGACAAAGAGTATGATGTAATAGCAGTCAACTGGGGGGAACTTAGCAAGTTCTGTTTGTTCAGATTCCTCTCTGTGTCCCTGCATCTTCTTCTTATTTGAGATAGAGTCCTTTCTCTCCATGTGTAGGGTTGGCGTCTCTCACATGAGGATCTTGTGTCCTGCTTCAGGAGAAAATGAGAAGATCCTTCCTAGGTTTTATGCCTGCCTCAGGGGAGAAGGGCAAGGGGAAGGTGAGAGCGATCCTCCTGTTTCTGCAGTTTTCTCAGATTCTTTCAGCTTCAAATATCTAATACGCCACAGTGCCATATTTTGGGGTATTGTGTCCTGAACCCCATCACCCAAAATCATAAATAAAAGGAATTAGGCTTAGGAAAGGAAGGAAAAAAGAAAAATGAAAACGACTTAAGAATTAGCTTTCAGGCTCTGGGTCTGCTTCTAAGGAACCTACATAGGCTTTTATAAGAAAATTTAAGAAATGGCAAAGCTGTCTGAGGCCAAAAAAAAAAAAGCTCACTTGTCAAGAGCATTGAACTGCTTTGCACATGAAGAATAGAATGAAGTTGTTCCTCTGCATGTGAGGAAAGATAGATAAAAGACTTTGGAAGGCCTAAAACAGTTTATGTCAAAATGCTAATCAAGTCACTTACCACTTACCATCTCTCTGGAATGCTGTGTGGTTCCATTTTATCTGAATTTAAAACAATATCTATCTTGTATGGTACCGTCTTTCATAATATGAAGCTTATGTTTTCAAATGTCTAAAAATCTTGTATTTTCATCCAGGACCTTTTTTGTATGCTATTTCTGTTCCCTCTGCCCCTCCCTCAAAGTGTTTGTGTCTGGCTTCTGGCCTGAGGCTGTGCTTCCCAGCCTGTCAGAATGGCCACCCTACAGGCTGCAACCCTTCATGAGAAACAAAGGAAATGCAAATATAACAGGGCAGTATTCCTGACTTTACAAATCATTTCATCAACTTGTTTTACTTGATTTTCAGGCAAACTGCTTTTTTCATAAGTTGGCAAGAGTTTTTGGATTTTTCTCCCCTCTCCTGTTGATGATCGTACACCAAAAAACTAAGCAATGAAATAAAATGATTGTTTGAGCTTAGATGAAACTTTTTCCTTAAGGGGGTATTTCCTGAATCTTATACCCTCTTACTCTTATTTTTTTAATTAATCGTTGTTCACTCATTTCACAATCACTTTTGAGTTTCTACTTTGTGCTTAGAACATAGAAGACCTGAAAGTATTCCATGAAAATAATTTATTTCTGTGTATTGAATTGATGGGCAAATCTTCATCCTAAGGAATATCAACATGTGTTATCAGGAGAGTTCATGAAAAGGACATTATCACATCACAGTTTTCAAAACCATATGGGTCTTATTTTAGGAATGTTAGCTCAGTTTATAAGTTATACTTTTCTTACAAAATAATAGGCTTCTTGTATATGACTTGCTGTCTTTTTTTCAAGAAAATAGAGAAAGGAGGTCTCACTATGTTGGCCAGGCTGGTCTTGAACCCCTGGCCTCAAGCAGTCCTCCTGCTTTGACCTCCCAAAGTGCTGGGATTACAGGAATGAACCACTGCACCCAGCTGTGCTGTCATACTAATTGGGTACATGTAAGGGAATCCTGTAATATCTTGGATGTGTTAAACCTTTCATTGAATAAATAATATCAGCTTATAGGTTGTGTGCTATTCTAAATAAACCCTCAATATTCCTTCAGCTTCTCTGCCTACTTTCAGGTGTGGTCAACCCCAAAGAAAGGTTCATGGCATCATTTTGTGAGTATGAATTTGGGGGAGGAGTTCAGAGGGTGTATTTTATTGATCATTTGGATGTGATTTATTTTTGGCATGCTATTTTTAATGCATTACAGATTTCCTGGCCAGCTTTTCCATAGCCCTTGGGTAACGTCACTTTTTATTGAACTGAATCTTAAGTGCAGGTGTTTTTGGATACCTCCTGCACTGATTCCATGGACCAGTCTGATGTCATTGTCCGTTGCCTGTTCCTGAGAGCCCCTTGTAGCCACTTCCTGCTCCCACTTTTAGCCATGAGGATTGTACTTGTTTGTTTCCAGCCCATAGAATGGCATGCTGGTGTTTCCCGTCAGCTGTGCTGCTGTTTCCTGAGCTGTGTGCTGTTTATCTTCTGCATCACTGCACCTCAAACGTCTGGCCTGCTGTGACTGCTGGCTGTGGCTTTGCGATCAAGCAGCCAGTTGAAGGCCTACTCCTGTGTACTTGTGAGGCTGCTCCTGATATCTGGCGTTTACTGTGCAGTCCCCATTTAGTGATTGCTACCAGTACCTTCATCAGACTGTTGCCGAGCGCCAACTCCATGACAGGCACTAAAGCTTCCATGTTGAAAGACACAGTGCTTGCTCTCGAGGAACGTGGCATCCAGTGGAACTATAGGGGGCAAGTGTGTGGTAGCAATGGAGAGGTACCAGCTATGTGGGAGCGTGGAGGAAAGAGAGCCTGGGTCTCCCTGGCCTGTCAGAGAAGGGGGCAGTCGAGCTGAGATGTGGAGGGTGAGTGGAAGTTGGCTGAGTGCAGGCGTCTGAGCAAAGGGTCAAGGCAATTACAAGTCAGGGCATGGCTTCTTTGGAGAACCATCAGGTGTTGGCTGTGTGTCCTTCTTCCGCAGCTGGAAAAGCGGCTTCCTAGGGATACTTCCTGAATAGCAGTTTCATTGCAAAGCTATTCTTATACGTCTTTACTGAGCGTAAGGTTGTTGTAGCCAGTAGAAAACAGGAAGAGTGAGGGGTAAAATCTCTGAACACTATTTTGAATCAGAAGTAGCACATCTTCAGCATCTCATACTTGTCTTTTGCACGTCCTTGTCCCAAGGCATTGATACCTTCAGGTTTGCCAAAAGCTCCTGCTGAGGGCCCCAAGCAGGGGTGTCCTGTCTCCCAGCTGCTGCATTTTTTTTTTCACATCACCTCTCTTTCTGCTCATTTACCCCTTCATCTATAGAGCAGTTAATCTTAGAGAAGCAGTAAGGGAGAGGTCCTGATAAACTAATTCATGTTAAGCTTTGAATGTTAGTTTTCTCAGAGCCCCCTGAATATAGTATTCTTCATACTGAAAAGGACATATTAAAACATGTAATCTCTAATTGGTGAAATCTCAAGAAAGGTGACAAAATTCAGATGACTCAGCATGCTGCCCCCACATTGACAGCTCCCCTGCTCCGACCTTCCTCATGCAGCATCTTCCTCAGCTTGTGGACTCAGGAACTTCTCCAGGTCCATCTTCCGTCATCCCTGTGGGCTGCAACACCAGCCTGCCTGGGAGGGGCAGAATCTGCCTCTCATCCCCATCTCATTAGCTGGCAGTGAAGGACTCCTGGTGGAAGGAGGGAGGGGACCAAGACAGCTATTCATAATACTGATTTATTCATAAGTCACTTATTCATAAGCCTTCAACAGCTTATAATTGAAAGTGATATGTCCCCATTTCAAAAATATTTTCTGGAAATAATGAGGTTTCCAGCAGATATGATCAGCTTTCAAGCATGCTGAGATTTGGCTGTCACTGAACCTTTTAGAGGCAGGATATTTCCAACTGGTGGCATGAGGATATTTATAACAAGAGGCCTTTGAACTCAAAAGCATGTTGAGCTTTGGATAAATATTTTGTATTGCAAGTATATGCAGTATTTTATTTGAAATATATGTAAATGTTGTGGGAAACAAAATTCAAAGCTATGTAAAGTGCTACTGAATTCATAATAGATTTTTGTTGTCACATACTATCTCGTAAATTGCCAAAAAAGTATACCCATTCTTAAACTTGAAAAGGTTTGAGACTCGTTGTCCTAGATTAGAATTTTTGGACTACTTAATTTGAAATCAAGGCAGTATGAGTGGAAACATCTCTAAAGGTGATTGTTTTGAACATTTTTAAGTGTTCTTCAGTGACATTCAAAATCCAAGGAAATCTAGCATCTGAATTCTAATTAATGTTGATAATCATTACACTAATGGTAAATTTTAAACCTGGTTTTGATTTCCTGGAGCTACACTGATGGACGGTGGGGAGCTGCAGGTATCAGTAGTCAGGTTCCCTCACCTTTGGACAGGAAGTTCTTGAAGTGAGGTGGGATTGGCGTAGTCAGGATCTAGCTCTGGTGGTGGTACGGCTTGGGTCAAGGGGCAAGAGCCCTGCCCAAAAAGATTGAAAGTGATTCCTTGCTGTAGCTTTTTTCCTTGAGCTTCAAAGGCCTTTCAGATTCTGTAGTGTCCTATGAAAATGCAAATGTCCCTGGGAAACACTAAACCTAAAAATACTGAATCTTGGCTCTGAAGAGTTGAAAGGATCTTCTCTTGTTAAAACTTTTCACAAGGCTTCGGTTTGGTCGACAGCTAGCTTAGTATAAAATGCTAGAAAAAAAGATAATGCAACCTAGTGAGGACAGGACAATGAGCCTCAACAGGGGAGGCCCAGAGTTGCTGCGGGGGTGCCAGAGGTGGCTAGGAGGGCTGACGGAAAGGGCAGCTGCCAGGACACCACGTCCACTGCACCTGCCACCCACATCCAGCCTGTTTCTGGATTGCGATATTTCGGTTCCCTTTTTTTTTTTTTTTTTTTTTTTTTTAATCCCTGAGACAAAGTCTTGCTCTGTTGCCCAGGCTGGAGTGCAATGGCGCGGTCTCGGCTCACTGCAGCCTCCGCCTCCTGGGTTCAAGCGACTCACCTGTCTCGGCCTCCCGACTAGCTGGGATTACAGGCACCCGCCACCACGCCTGGCTAATTTTTGTATTTTTAGTAGAGACAGGGTTTCACCATGTTGGCCAGGCTGGTCTCGAACTGCTGACCTTGTGATCTGCCTGCCTCGGCCTCCCAAAGTGCTCGGATTACAGGCATGAGCCACCATGCCCGGTCTCAGGTTCCCTTTAAAAAGAAGAAAATCAGCTTTGTTTTTCTGATTGTAATGCTCAAATTAGAGACCCTCAGATCTTTGGAGTTAAACAAAATTGTAGGTGATATTATTTGCAACTGCATTTTATTTGCAGTCTGGATCATGAGAAAACAACTGAAGCTTGTGTATTTCTCCATTCCTGGTAGTGAGGGGTTACTGTCAAAATTAGTCCACATTTGTCAAGTGGTTGCTTGTTCTTGAATGAATAAGATAGAAAAATATACATTTTTAATAATTAATGAAAACTTAAATTTTACATCTGAAGGATTTTTCTCTCATGATTAAAACAAATAACAAAACCCAAACCATAGATTTTAATATTATGTTCAATCACTATTCAACAGGCTTTTTTCTTTTTGTTTTTTAAATTAACATTGCCTTATGTTTAGATGTGCTGACATATTAACTGCCTTCTTTTTTTCCTCTATGTCAAAATTTCTTTATATGAGTTTAGTTTTTAGATATTTCTCAAGATTCTTTTGTAACATAGCAGCCAATTTAAATCACTATAACCATAGAAATGAGAATTGTCTTACTGAGAAAATTCCATCAACATCATTTATATACTGAAATCAAAATGTTGGAAACAAGGGGATGCTTTTGGTTTTTGTGTTCTTAAGAGTTTTCTGTTGGCAAAAAACGTCCTTCCTGCCTTCCAAATGTGTTATACATGGGAAGAATTGTGGTGTGTGTGTGTGTGTGTGTGTGTGTGTGTGTGTGTGTGTGTGTCTGTGTGTGTTTAAGCTTAGAGATTAAGAATAGCAAATGCTGACCTGAATCCTGGGTCTGATCTATTTTAACACATAGATTGTGTTGAACGGCCATGAATCCATAGCAGGTAGAACGCTTTTAAAACTTTTTAAATGTGTGATTATTTATGTTGAATAACAAGCATACCAGGTTATCAAGGTTGGGAAGTTTTTGATTAATTCAAACCTTTTATCTGTTGATATTTACCAGTCTGTCAAAGATGACCAATTTTCAAAGCAGTTAGAATATACTATAAAATGTTTTAATAATTCAGAAATCTCTTAAATCTTTGAATACCTTAGGTTATCATTGTGATTAGCTTTGTTATACTGTTGGAGTCTGAGAGTTTCGATTAATAGAAATTTATGGTTAACATTGATTTTGCATCTCTTCAGCATTTGTTGCCATATTCACTTTCTCACATCTCACTTTGCTTGTATGTATTTTTTCTTCTCTAAAATTTTTATTTGCCAGAGTTTTGTCTATTAGCTTTGAATACAAATATAATTTTATATTGTTTATGGGAAAATTAAATGCAGATGGCTTGAAAACTTCTGTATGTTGTCTCTGAAAATGGAGAGGATGAGAACCCACTCTGTTATATCTGGAGTTCAGGACAAAGCACAGATCTGGTCACAGGGGATCTTGCCTCCTTCTGTGTGGAAGCCACCAAGCACAGGGACTGGTAATGGATTCCACAGAATGGCACAGAGTTGCTAAGGAGGAAAGCCTGCCTTAAGGGGCTTATCCGTTATTGTCACCCATAAGGTTGACAACAGGCAATTCTTGTCTGTGATTATGCATTTTGGTTGCTGCTGGAGCTCTTCCGTTCTGGATAATTTCACAGATATTTTCAAGAGTTAAGGAGATAACATTTCCGTCATTTCTATGGATTGTACCAGCTGCTTCGTCTGTTTCCCATTGTATAAATATTTATACAAGGTCAAAATGTAAATGAAGTAATGCAGTGGTTGCACAGATGTAGTTCGTCTAGAGCAGTGGTTCTCAAGCAGTGTCAGCATTACCTGGGGTTTGGTTAGAAATGCAAATCTTTGGCCCAAATGGATTACTGAATCAGATTCTGGATATGGGGTCCAGGAATCTCTGTTCACTAGTCCTGTAGGTGATTTTGATGCTGCCAAATGTGGAGAACCACTGGTTTTCTGTCTGTACAACCCTTTTGAATGGACTCTTTAATAAATAATTTTCACTCACAGACGCTGGCAGTTGGTTTATACTACTTTTTCTAAAGTCTTTTATGCAGCGTTTTAAAAAAAGCCTTTGATTTTGAAAAGATTCCTGTAGTGATCTAAACTTCTTCCATTTTTTCCCCTCAAACTGTTAATAAGTAGGCCAATTCCATAGTTAAAATTCAGGAACATGTCAGATGTGGCTTAAAAATTCTAGAAATTGGGCTTTTGTCTAAATATCCATAACACAAAGCTTCTAGACTGAAGTTCTTTTTAGTCTTACCAAAAAAAAAAAAAAAAAGAAAGAAAGAAAGAAAAAGCTGCTATTTCATGCGGCATTTTAGCATAGTGTTTCTGTAAAAAGCATCTTTGTCAACATATCACTGAAGAGCATTTTCAAATGGCGTTGAACCATTCCTTCGAACTGTGACTCATCCATGTAGGTATTTGTCGATCTCCTACAGGAAGCAGCCTTCTTGGTGCTACCTGTACTCATTGCAGAAGCCACCACACCGTACCCTTAACCTCCTAGTCTGAGCCTGTGAATTTGAACAAGGGTAATAATTTATGATTAAGTGCATTTCTTACTGATCCATTTATCTTACACTTTCTGGTTCTTATCATTCTTCAATCAATCACATGGCCAGGAAAATGAATGTAAAAATACCTTCAGGTTTTTGTTAATAATTAAATCTTATTTTCTTGAAATGTCATTGTCTAACTCAAAAGGTCTTAGATTCCTTAATGCTAATCTGATATTCATATAATTATACTAAAAACAAGATAGGCTTTGGGATCACCCTTTCCTGCTCCAATCAGAAGTAAATAAAAATAGATTCTCAGCATTTAAGAACTGGAGGTGGGGCCAGGCGCGGTGGCTCACACCTGTAAACCCAGCACTTTGGGAGGCTGAGGCAGGCGGATCACGAGGTCAGAGAGTTCGAGACCAGCCTGACCAACATGATGAAACCCCATCTCTACTAAAAATACAAAAAGTAGTTGGGCGTGGTGGTACGCGCCTGTAATCCCAGCTACTCAGGAGGCTGAGGCAGGAGAATTGCTTGAACCCTGGAGGCGGAGGTTGCGGTGAGCCGAGATCGCACCATTGCACTCCAGCCTGGGCAACAGAGCAAGACTCTGTCTCAAAAAAAAAAAAAAAAAAAAGAACTGGAGGTGACCTTCCGATCCATATTCAGCCAGCTCCACCCTCCTGGCGATGGGAAATCTGAGGCCTCCAGGGTGCATGGTGGGAGGTGAGTGGTGTGCTGAGACCCGCCTGCCTGAGCTGGCCCTGCAGTCAGACCCCGGTCTTCTAAACTGCCTTGCCCTTCCCATAAAAGCTAAGGTATTGTTGAGCATTCTGTCTTAACTATTTCTAACAAGCCTCATACACATCTTGTTCCTGCAGTGTTCATTTTGTTAATACTCTAGATAGTGGTCATTTCCTTAAGGTAATTGATAGGAATTCGAAAACTGTTCCAGAATACTAGAATAGTGTTTCCTGCAGCATGGTTTTAGGAAACAGCATTTCCAGTAGCTGTTCCTAAGGACCTAATTTTGTGACCAACTCAGTAGTTGCCATGAATTCTTTGTTATGTAAAAGTTATTTATTCTGACTATCTGCAAAAAAACTGCCATTATTCCTAACTACTGTGTTTTAGGTAAGGATCATCTTTTTTTAGTTGCATGTAAAAGTATAGTACTTGATTAATGTGTGTAAAGGGTGTGTGTGTGTGTCTGTGTTGGAGCAAGGGTTAAGAAAAGCTCTGTAAAGTCATTTAACTTTCTTTGAAAACGTGTGTTAACTTTAGCATGCACAGAATTGTTTTTCCAAATGCCAATTCTGAGGAATAATGTTCTATAATACTTTAGAATACTCACAGAAATAATGTATGGTATAAAATAAATATGTCTGTTTTGAAAACTAATTATTGATGAAGGCTGGATATAAAACTTTTTAAAACTGTAGAAACACAGGTCACAGAAGTTGATACCTTAAAAATTCATGTATAAGGAAAACCAATGCCAGGAAAATACTTTTACGGGTCTTTTTTTTTAATCCAGCCTGAGAAAATTTGTATTCATTTGTTTAAGTGGGGGCAGGAGATTGGGAGACTTTAAAAATTGTTGTGTATACCTTATTTGAAAACTGAGGTAAGAAAAAATGTAACTGTTAAAAATGGTAACAGTACAGGAAAAGTGGTTTTTAAAACTGCAAGGAAATATTGTGTATTTTGTCATTGTCTAACAAGTCCTCAGTTTCTGAACAAAATTTTTCTAAAATATATTTTACTAAGCTCAGGGAACTAAAAGTACCTTTGGAAACAGCAATTATTGAAAATATTTAAAAGGAAGCTGAAACTTGTTTCTGACAGGCATCCACATTCTGGAGAAAAGAGAGAGAAAAGGAAACAGTCTGTACAATTACATATCCCTTATCTGAAATACTTGGGACTAGAAGTGTTGCAGGTTTTGGATTTTTTCCGATTTTGGAATATTTGCAGTATGCACTTACTGGTTGAGCATGGCTAAAACAAAAAACTGAAATCCTAAATGCTCCCATGAGCATCTCCTGTTAGAATCAGGTAGGTGCTCAAAAAGCTTCAGATTTCAGCGCAGGGATACTCAACCTGTGTTACAATTAGTAAGTCCCAGCAAATGCTGGCAAAGATGCAGAGAAACTAGCTGACTCACACAGTGATGATGGGGATGTAAAATGGAATAGCTACTCTGGAAAAGAGTTTGGCAGTTCCTTTCAAAACCGAAAAATGAACTTACCGTATGACCCAGCAGTTGCACTCTTGGGCATTTATGCAAGAGAAAGTACTTATTTTCATGTAGGAACTCATACACAAATGTTCATGACAGCTTTATTCATAATAGCCAAAAGTTGGAAACAGCCATTCAGTGGGTGAATGGTTAAACAAACTGTGGTACATCCATACCATAAAATTCTACTCAATAATAAAAGGGAACAGATTATTATGTGCTGTAGCTTGGAGAAACCCCAAGGCAATTATGCTGAGTGAAAAAAGCGAGTCTCAGAAGGATATATAGTACATGATTCCACTTACATAACATATGAAATAACATAATTATAGATTTGGAGTCCAGCTGAGTGTTTGGGGAAGGAGGGCATGGCTATAAGAGGTGTTGGAAGTAAATGCTTGGTGTCACCAAGTGAAAATGACACTCAGGCAAAAGTTTTCTCAGCAAGGCAATTTACTTCTATAGAAGGGTGTATCTTGTGGATGGAACAATGGCGAGAGCACACCAGACAAGGAAGGGGAAGGGGTCTTATTCCTAATGCCGCTAGCTCCTACTGCTGTGTCTTTCCCCTATTGGCTAGGGTTGGACTGCACAGTCTAAGCTAATTCCAATTGTCTCTTTTAAAGAGAGCAAGGGTATGAGCCGGAGTGGCAGGGTGAGTAGTTTTGGTGGAAAGGACAGTTACAGAACAGGTGACTAAGGATGCCTAAGGACAGAACAGGTGACAGAGGCTAGGAGGGGGTCATTTACTGAAACTAGGGGCAAGGAGAGTAAAGAATGAGGAAGTTAAACTTTAAAATGGAGAACAAAGAACAGGGAAGCTGAACATACTGACATATTGGTTCTTTGAAGAAGAACTCAGAACTTATTGTACTTAACAATTTTTCTCCTTCTTGAATTTTAAAGGAAGTTAACAGGCTAAACTTTGAAGAGGAATTTACTGTATCCTGCAAGGGGAACCTGAGGGAGTCTTACGGTGGTACTGTATTGATGTAGTGCTTACACAAGGCTATGCATGTAGTAAGACTGCATGGAGCTGTATGCCCATCTGCACGCACAGCGCATGTGTGACTGGTGAAATCTGAATAAGCTTTGTGGATTGTACCCATGTTAATTGTTGGGTTTTGACCTTATACCAGAATTATGTAAGATGTTAGCACTGAGGGACATTCAGGATGTACATTTCTAGGTAACATCCTATGAACCTATAATTATTTCGAAGTAAAAAGCTTTAAAAATTGAGTATTGCAATTTCATATAGTCATCCTAATGGGGGGAAAAATCCCTGATGGGTATACACCAAAATGTGCTAGTTGTAGTCATCTATAATAGGAAAAGTCCCCTAAAATAGGGACTTTCACCCTATTATTTGTGGAATAAATAATTTTTTATGGCTAAAAATTTTCCTCAGTGTACATAGTTCATGCATCAAAAATACCCTATTAAATAAATGCAGATAGGCCGGGCACGGTGTCTCATGCCTGTAATCCCAGCACTTTGGGAGACTCAGGTGGGCGGATCACCTGAGGTCAGGAGTTCAAGACCAGCCTGGCCAACATGGTGAAACCCTGTCTCCACTAAAAATACAAAAATGAGCCAGGTGTGGTTGTGCACATCTGTAGTCTTAGCTACTCGGCTACTCGGGAGGCTGAGACACAAGAATCACTTAAACCCAGGAGGTGGAGGTTGCAGTGAGCCAAGATCGTGCCATTTTACTCCAGCCTGGGCAATAGAGTGAGACTCTGTCTAAAAAGAAAAAAATGCAAATAATTAGAAGCATAAAAAATTTGGCCAGGTGCGATGGCTCACACCTGTAATCCTAGCACTTTGGGAGGCCGAGGCGGGTGGATCAAAAGGTCAGGAGATCGAGACCATCCTGTCAAACAATGTGAAACCCTGTCTCTACTAAAAATACGAAAATTAGCTGGGTGTGGTGGCGTGTGCCTGTAATCCCAGCTACTCAGGAGGCTGAGGCAGGAGAATGGCTTGAACCAGGGAGGCCGAGATTGCAGTGAGCCAAAATCGTACCACTGCACTCCAGCCTGGTGACAGAGTGAGATTCCGTCTAAAAAAAACAAAAAACAAAAAACAAAACAAATCATAGGTCCCAATTTTTAAAATCTGTCACATTGACAGAATTTAATGTCTTCTAGTGGTTATGTAATTTGACAGACTGTTGGCAATTGTTTTTATCAAAAAACAGCTTGAAGAGATGTTTATTTGTATTCAGAAAATTGTTTAGAGACTTACAGATATTTCACAGTTCTCTCTTGATCATGTCACATGTATTTTAATATCACAAAACTCATATTTCCTAACTCAATATAAAAACACCTGAATTGTAAATATTGAAGTTAGTTTTTAAAGTTTATTCTTAGTCTTATTTATCTCTAATGAACAATGCTCTTAATCTTTAATAGAGAGATTACTAGAATTTTTCTCAATTCATATGTAGTAAGTGTTACTGTTTCTCTTTTAACATTTTGAACTCTTAAGAGAGAGGCTTATCCTAGTTTTCTATACATGACTCCCAGAGGTTTGGGGGCCTTTTTCGGTCATTAACACCTCACTATATTTATTACCTATCTCGGTTAAAAGGCTTAGTTGTAGAGTATGTTGAATATGTTCCTGAAATGAACTTGGTTTTTTTTAATTTCATATATCTTGTGCCACCCTTATGCCCCATTAAAACGTATAATTGAGAATTGATTATTCCGTCTTCACTGGTAATGGAATTTTTTGTTGTTTTGAGTAAGTAAGCATTTGAAATTGATAGTGGTAACTAAAGTGGAAGTTGCAGTCAGATAAAACTTGAGCAATGATCTGGAGTTGAAATAAAAAGACATAGGCCTGAGGTGATAATGGAATTAAATGATTACTCTTGACTCGTCGTAGAAAAACTACTGCATCTTGTTTTGATTTTTTTTCTTTTAATCTGAAGTCCATTTGTTGAAGCTCTTAACATCTTTGTATTTGTCTGGCTTTCCCCAGTATAATAAATGGCATCTTAATGTGAGCAAGGGGTCATTTTTCCTTGTAGAAAATGTTCTGTAATTTAGATTTTTCAGTCCTCATTCTAAAATTCAGATGCTGTTAAACCCCTAGATTTGAAATTTTTCCTTCAAATATCCTCCCATCATTTCACCTCTCCCATATTTGGTTGTTTTCTTGATGCAGGCCCAATTGATGATTTCAGTACACACAGCACAATTAGAACATCCTCATTCAGTCACGTCGCTGAGGGCAAATGTCTCTTAGCTGTTGGGCAGCAAAGTTATTTTTAAATGCCCGCTTTGTGCTTTTTCATAGTCATCCTGAATAGTGGCTGGTGTGGTGCAACTATACTCGGTCCTCAGTGAAGCTGGCTTAGTGCTTAGCCCCGAGATACAAAAAGGGCTCTGAAATGAAGTGGGGAGCTGGTGGGGACAGCTGGGGATGTTTCAGATACCTAGTGAGGAACATGTTTTAAAACTTAAAACAGTGATTGTTTTCTCCTATTTTTTATAAGTCATTTTAAGGCCAGGCACATTGGCTCACACCTGTAATCCCAGCACTTTGGGAGGCCAAGGCAGGCGGATCACGAGGTCAGGAGATCGAGACCATCTTGTCTAACATGGTGAAACCCTGTCTCTACTAAAAATACAAAAAAATTAGCTGGCAGTGGCAGCATGCACCTGTAGTCCCAGCTACTCGGGAGGCTGAGGCAGGAGAATGGCGTGAACCTGGGAGGCAGAGCTTGCAGTGAGCCGAGATCGCGCCACTGCACTCCAGCCTGGACGACAGAGCAAGACTCCATGTCAAAAAAGAAAAAAGTCATTTTAAGTTTCCTAATCTAACCCCTCCTCCCTTGTGAAGGTCGAGACATGATTGGATTTCATTCTGATGTAGAAAAAACTGAGATAAACTGAAGGGCCAATAATTCAGCAACACGAGAGAATCAAACTTTTAAAGCAGAAGTAGTCTTGAGAAAAATGTTTTTTATGTTATATATCTACAGAAAATCTTAATTCTGTTAAAACAAGATATTCTTTAATTAAAACCCCTTTGATGATTTCTGCATTGATCTTTGGTTTTGAGCTGCCTATTCTGGAATTATTTTTCAAAAGAAGATTAGCTGAACTTTGAAGCAGTTGAAGCATACTTAATGTATTTTAGGGTTGACTTATTCTAATGCACTTGGCAGCCATGAATCATTTGAACAGATATGTTGACAACTGAAGTGAAACAAATGAAAAGACATCCTCTTCAGTTCATTTTTTTTTCTTACGAGTACACTCTAAATTCCTTGCAGATTTATTAAGAGTACTGAAAGGTAACTAATTCTTAAGCATCTGAGTGGGGCCCAGAGCAGGTGATTTTCAGTGCATAGTGAGTCCTGGTTCTTGGTAATATTTGGTGTTGCTCCCTCTTCAAGAGGCTGTTGTTTAAATAATGCTGGTATTAATATTAGCTGCCAGCTATTGGCCAACATTGTATGCTTGGTGATTCGTATTTGCTACCTCATTTAATCCTGCCAACAACCTTACGAAATAGGTGTTTTTACCGCACTTGTATGGAGGAGAAGTTGCAACTCTGGTGAAATCAGTTATGTGGAAAAAGAGTCTGAGACTAAATCCTGAAGAGGATTTAGCTGCAGGTCCTTTGGGAGGCGATTCCAAGAAGCAGGAGCGAGGGACAGGGAAAGTGAGACAGCGAGGAAAAGAAGCTAAAAGCAGGAAGCTGCTAAAGCCAGTGAGGATGTGCCGTCGTACCAGGATCTCTGAGAAGTGTTGAGAACGCCTCCTAGAATCGTCCACCCAAAGGATGTTAGACCAGGGTCCTGAGACACTGACCTCTGTCACATGTTGGTTGAGAACTGCCTTAATTCCACAAAACTGGGCTGTGCTGGCTAGGTTCCCTGAGATTCAGAGAATACTCTGACCAGAAAAACAGCCACACAGGCGTGGCTGTGAGGTGGGACCCTCTGTGCATCCCAATGAGCGCACACAGAACTGGCTTCCATAGCTGCAGCTGAACGTAGAGGTAGACCAGAGGGCTGTGCCAAGAGGCGCTAGGAGTGTAGGACCTGAGTTGGGCCTAGCCCAAAACCTGTGAGCACAAGAAACTCTTCCCACTGTGGCAGACCGTCTTCACGTAAACACATGTGGGATGAGGTAGCAGGAAATGGAGAGAGGGCACCCAGTACTGGCAACAGTATGAGCAGAATGCACAGAGGAAATACTATGCATGTGATTACATGCTAATTAGGAATATTTACTTTTCCTATGTTGCTTTGGTTAGCATTAGTTTGTGTTTCTTGCATGTATGTAGATCAGAATATAAGAAGAAAGCCCATAGTATTCTAAGTATTAGACACTGTACCTGATTTGAGATGATAAACTCCATCACTGGGTTTTAAGGTCTGCCATGCATACCAGCTTGCTGGACTCCGGAGTTGAGAGTGTGGTGCTGGGAATGTGGGGATGGGCAGGGACTAAGGCAGATAACGGACCTCATTCACCATTGTCCATGGTAAGAGCTGCTGCGTTTGTTTTGTTAACAATCTTGATAACACCCCTAAGATGTTGATACTCCCCTGAGCTGAACCAGAGGAAACAATGCCTTGGGTGAAATGGTTTGTTACAGTGTATCCCAGGACAGAAGGTAGCTGAAATGGTTTCTGCAGATGACTAGATTTTCCGGAGTAATAGCACCCAAACTCAGCGGAGCAGGGTGTCTGCCACAGACACAGGGCAGGAGTTAGGAAATATTTACGTAAGGTAAGGCACTCAGGTTGTCCTTTTTCATTTTTACAGTCAACCAGATTTGGTCAGGGACCTGAATTCATACAGCCTGTTTGGAATAAGCCCATATTGCTGTGTAATAGATAACCACAAACATAACAGTTTAAAATGAAACAAATTTATCAGCTTCCAGTTTGTAGGGCAGAAGTGTAGGCAAGCTGTGACTGGATTCTCTGCCCAGTATTCCATGAGGCTGAGATCAGGGGTCGCAGAGCTGCGTTGTTTTCTGGAGGCACTGGAGAAGAATCTGTGTGAGGGCCCTTCAGGTCATTGCCAGAGTTCAGGCACCTAGTGATTGTGGGATGGAGGCCCCTTTTCTTTCACCTGCTGTCAGCCCGGGGATGCTCTCAGCCCCAGGATGCTACCCACATTCCTTTCCACGTGGCCCCCTCCATCCTCCAACCCAGCAACAGATAATGGCCCTGTGTCAAATCCCTGTCACGCTTCACATCTTTCTCCAAGAAGGCCCAGTGCCCTTCACAAGCCTAGCTAGGCCAGGCTCACCCAGATGTTCCCCCTTTAAGGAGTCAGCTGTGCCATGGACATCACCTAGGCACAGGGTAAAATCCATCCCAGCCCCAGGCCTAGGGAGTGCAGAGCAGGTACACCAGGGAGCAGGTCTCAGAGCCACCTCAGGATTCTCCCTGCACCCCTGTGAAGTACAAAGGATTTAAGATCTAAAAGCAAGTTTAGAAGTAATCCTTTACCCATGTACCAGGTCAAAAATGGTAAATGTCTGACCCTGATTTCATTTTTTGTATTCTCTGTACATGCTGTATGAGTCCATTTTCACACAGCTATAAAGAAATAGCTGAGAGGGGTAATTTATAAACAAAGGAGGTTTAATTGACTCACAGTTCTGCATAGCTGGGGAGGCCTCAGCAAAGTTACAATCATGGCAGAAGGGGAAGCAGTCACCTTCTTCACAAGGCAGTAGGAGAGAGTGTGAGCGTGGGAAGGAACTGTCAAACACAAAACCGTCAGATCTCGTGAGGACTAGTCACTATCACAGGAACAGCATGGGCGAAACTGCCTCCATGATCCAATTACTCCCTTCCTCAGCGTAGGGATTACAATTTGAGATGAGATTTGGGTGGGGACACAGAGCCAAACTATATTATTCTGCCCCAGGCCCCTCCCAAATCTCATGTCTTTTCACATTCAAAACCAATCATGCCTTCCCAACAGTCTCCCAAAGTCTTAACTCATTCCAGCATTAACCCAAAAGTCGTATTTTTTTTTTTTTTGAGATGCAGTCTCACGCTGTCGCCCAGGCTGGAGTGCAGTAGCGTGATCTTGGCTCACTGCAACCTCTGCCTCCTGGGTCCTGGTTCGAGCAGTTCTCCTGCCTCAGCCTCCCAAGTAGCTGGGATTACAGGCATGCACCACCATGCCCAGCTAATTTTTTTTTGTATTTTTACAAAAAATACATGACCACCATGTTAGTCAGGCTGGTCTTGAACTCCTGACCTCGTGATCTGTCCGCCTTGGTCTCCCAAAGTGTTGGGATTACAGGCGTGAGCCACCGCGCCCGGCCTAAGCCAAAAGTCTTAAGTCCAAAGTCTCATGTGACACAAGGCAAATGTCTAGCCTAGGAGCCCATAAAGTCAAAAGCAAGTTAGTTACTTCCAAGATACAATGGGTGTACAGGCATTGGATCAATGTTCCCATTCCAAATGGGAGAAATTGGCCAAAACAAAGGGTCTACAGGCCCCAAGCAAGTCTGAAATCCAGCAGGGCAGTCATTAAATCTTAAAGCTCCAAAATAATCTCCTCTGACTTCATGCCTTACTTCCAGGTTACAGGGGTGGCTCCCATGGCCTTGGGCAGCTCCTTCATGGGTTGGCATTGAATGCCTGCATCTTTTCCAGATTCATGGTGCAAGCTGTCAGTGGATCTACCATTCTGGGCTCTGGAGGGCAGTGGCCCTCTTCTCACAGCTCCACTAGGCAGTGCCCCAGTGGGGACTCTGTGGAGGTGGTGGGGCAGCAACCCCACATTTACCATTTGCACTGCCCTAATAGAGATCTCCATGAGGGCTGTGTCCCTGCAGCAGACTTTTGCCTGGACATCCAGGCATTTCCATACATCCTGGGAGATCTAGGCCAAGGTTTCCAAACCTCAATTCTTGACTTCCGTGCACCCGCAGGCCTAACAGCATGTGGAAGCTGCCAAGGCTTGTGGCTTGCACCCTCTGAAGCAATAGCCCAAGCTGTACCTTGGCCCCTTTTAGCCACGGCTGTAGTTAGAGTGGCTGGAATGCAGGGTGCCATATCCCAAGGCTGCACAGAGCAGCTGGCCCCTGGGCCTGGCCCACAAAACTATTTTTCCTCCTAGGCCTCAGGGCCTGTGATGGGAGAGGCTGCTGCCAAAATCTCTGACATGCCCAGGAGACATTTTCCGCATTGTCTTGGCACTTAACATTCAACTCCTTATTACTTATGCAAATTTCTGCAGCTGGCTTGAATTTCTCCCCAGAAAATGGGTTTTTCTTTTCTGTCGCATTGTCAGGCTACAGATTTTCTAAACTTTTATGTTTTGCTTTTCTTGTAAACATAAGCTCCAAGTTCAAACTATCTCCTTGTGAACACATAAAACTGAAAGCTTTCAGAATAATCCAGGTCATGTCTTGAATGCTTTACTGCTTAGAAATTTCTTCCACCAGATACCCTTAATCATTGCTCTCAAGTTCAAGGTTCCACAGATCTCAAAGGCATGGCAAAATGCCACCAGTCTGCTAAAGCATAGCATGAGTGACCTTTACTCCAGTTCCCAATAAGTTCCTCATCTCCATCTGAGACCACCTCAGTCTGGACTTCATTGTTCACATCACTATCAGCATTTTGGTTGAAACCATTCCACAAGTCTCTAGGAGGTTCCAGAGTTTCCCATATCTTCCTGTCTTTTTCTGAGCCCTCCAGACTGTTCCAACCTCTACCCGTAACCCAGTTCCAAAGTCCCTTCCACATTTTCAAGTATCTTTATATCAATACCCCACTCTCTCCAGTACCAATTTGCTGCATTAGTCAATATTCACACTGCTATAAAGAAATACCTGAGGCTGGGTGAGGTTGCTCACACCTGTAGTTCCAGCACTTTGGGAGGCCGAGGCAGGCAGATCACTTGAGGTAGGAGTTTGAGACCAGCCTGACCAACATGGCAAAACTCCATCTCTACTAAAAATACAAAAAATTAGCTGGGCATAGTGGCGTGCTCCTGTAATCCCAGCTACTTGGGAGGCTGAGGCACAATAATTGCTTGAACCCAGGAGGCAGAGGTTGCAGTGAACTGAGATCGCACCACTGTCACTGCACTTCAGCTTGGGGAACAGAGTAAGACTCTGTCTCAAAAAAAATAGGTAATTTATAAACAAAGGAGGTTTAATTGACTCACAGCTCTGCATGGCTGGGGAGGCCTCAGGAAACTTATGATCATGGCAGAAGGGGAAGCAGGCTCCTTCACAAGGTGGAGAGTATGAGCATGTGAAGGAGGAACTGTCAGACACTTACACAACCATCAGATCTAGTGAGAACTACTCACTATCACGAGAACAGCATGGGGGAGACTGCCCCCATGACCCAATCACTTCCCTCCCCTGACATGTGAGAATTACAATTCGATATGAGATTTGGGTGGGAACACAGAGCTAAACCATATCACGTGCCTTGAGGAAAAGTTAAACTACTGGAAAGTGTTTATAGCTGGGAGATTTGGGGTTCTTGCTTGAATGACCAGGTGAAGGTTAATTATGTTAGTGTTCTTGCCTTGTATATTACTAAGGCTTACCTTGAAGGGTCACTGGTCCCTTAAATTATAAAATTTTTTCACATCCTTTCATATGTTTCATATCAATATTGGGTTAATATTTCTATCCCAAATTTTCAGATGAGAAGGTTAACTGATTAGGTTGTGTGGTCAGTAAACACTAAAAAGCCAAGATTAAGCACTTTGTAATACACCATGATGGCTACATACTTACTTTTTTTGTTCCCAAGCTTTTTTTTTTTTTTTTTTTTGAGACAGAGTCTCGCTCTGTCTCCCAGGCTGGAGTGCAGTGGCAAGATCTTGGCTCACTGCAACCTCTGCCTCCTGGGTTCAAGTGATTCTCCTGCCTCAGTCTCCTGAGTAGCTGGGAATACAGGTGACTGCCACCATGCCTGGCTAATTTTTGTATTTTTAGTAGAGATGGGGTTTTACGGTTTTACCATATTGGCCAGGCTGGTCTCGAACTCCTTACCTCAGGTGATCCGCCTGCCTCGGCCTCCCAAAGGGCTGGGATTATAGGCGTGAGCCACCGCGCCCGGCCCTGTTCCCAACTTTTTACTGTGGTAAAGTACACATAAAATTTACCATTTTATGTGTACATAGAATTCATAAGTGTCCAGCTGAGTGGTATTAAATATATTCATGCTGTGCATCCATCACTACCATCCATCTCCAGATGTCTTTCGTCTTGTAAAACTGAAAATCTGTACCCATTAACCACTAAGCTCCCACGCCCTCTCCCCAGCCCTGAGAGCACACTTCGTGTCTCCATCCATCTGACTGCTCTAGGTACCTCATATGAGTGGAAGCACACAGCATTTGCCTTTTCGCGACTGGCTGGAAGCACACAGCATTTGCCTTTTCGTGACTCCGGCTTACTGCACTTAGCATATGTGCTCCAGGTTCATCCAAGTTACAGCGTGTGTCAGAATATCCCTCCTTTTTAAGGGTGAATAGTATTCTACTGTTACATACTTTTAACAAACATACCTTGAGAGCTTACTGTGTGCCAGGCTCTGAGCTGAGTGACAGCATGTTGAAATGAGTCATACATGGTCACAGTCTTGCAGGGACTCCAAATCCTTAGCAATTGCACTGCAATTTTTGTAAGTCAGCTGCAAAAGTCTAAACACAGGGATGTGGAAACATCTGGATGGAGCAGCAGACTCCACTGGAGTTAGTAGAAGGACGACCTGAGAAGCTGGTCTTGGAAGGTGAACAGCTGTTTGTGACTGATGAATGGGCGATGCGGGTGGGAAGGTCGTTCCAGCAAAGGGAACAGCACATGCAAAGGTGTGGAACGAAGGGCCTGACCCTGACCGCCCAGGTAGGGGGAGGAAGTGCAGCAGATTGGGGGACAAGGAGGCCAGCTGTACACGCAGTCGGGGCACCAGCCCAGTCTGTAAACGCGGCATGACTCCATCCACTTGGAGGGTGGATGCGAGCAGCTGTTTATACCCATTTCCTCTCTCAGTCCCTTTTCAAACCCTAACCCCAGTTATTCTGTTTCCTCAGCTGAACTAGATGCAGAGCACGCCCAGAAGGTCCTGGAAATGGAGCACACCCAGCAAATGAAGCTGAAGGAGCGGCAGAAGTTTTTTGAGGAAGCCTTCCAGCAGGACATGGAGCAGTACCTGTCCACTGGCTACCTGCAGATTGCAGAGCGGCGAGGCGAGTGGGGGCTGGGGCTGCTGGTGTGGGGACTCACCGGCTGTGCGGGGTGGCGATGGACCCCTCTCCCCAGAGCAGGGCATGGGGCAGAATCCTCAGAAGTTCCGTTCTGTTATGAGACCCCAGCAACCAAAATGTGTGCGTCGGGCCACCTCTCTCTTGCCCTGCTTTTGCCTCTTCTATCAGTCTAAGCTTTAGTTGAAGATATATTTTTTTTAATACCTCTAAAGATTACAGATACAGCCAGGCGTGGTGGCTCACGCCTGTAATCCCAGCACTTTGGCAGGCCAAGGCAGGCAGATCACCCGAGGTCAGGAGTTTGAGACCAACCTGGCCAACATGGTGAAACCTCATCTCTACTAAAATACAAAAATTAGCCGGCCGTGGTGGCGCGTGTCTCTAATCCCAGCTACTCAGGAGGCTGAAGCACGGGAATCACTTGAACCCGGGAGGCGGAGGTTGCCATGAGCCGAGATCGCACCACTGCACTCCGGCCTAGGTGGCAGAGTGAGACTGTCTCAAAAAAAAAAAAAAAAAAAAAAGATTACAAACACAAATTATGCTTCTAGAGAACCTGCAAAATTACCAAAATGGAAAAAAAGAAAAATAGCCCTTAATTCTCCAGTACAGAATAGTCCCTGTTACTGCTTTTCGTGTGTTCTTTCTAGTCTCTGTCGAGTCTGCTTATCTAATTGGTATCTGACTGGACCGTACATATATATGGCTTTGTCTCTAACTTTTCTTCATGTTACATAGGGCTCTTTCCGCCTGTTGTTAAAAATACTATAAGAGGTTGTGTGTCAAAGGCTGCATCTTTTTGTCATGATGTATCCTAATATATTCCACCAGTTTTCCTAGCTGAACATTTAAAATCTTTCCCTCAGTAAATAGTGCTGTAAGGAACAAGCTGATTAGAAGTCCAGACACCGAACTCCTTCTTCCCAGCTTTTCCTTTGGAAGAACTGAGTGACTCAGAGGTGCAGCAGGGGTGGGCAGGGCAGCGGCACTGGGCAGCTTACATTTTCCCTCCAGCCTGCGCTGCACAGGCAGTACCAGACCCCCGGCAGCGGGGAGACCCGTCCAAACCTTGCCCTGTTTTCCTGCCCTCCCATTCTCCTGAACGTCTCATCATCTTCTGGACACCTCCCTCACCCCCCAAATCTCAGCCTTCATCCTTTCCCCAGCCTTGCCTGGCCCTGGCCTTTGTTCTCTCTATCCTGCCCCCAACCACATCTCCCAGGAGTGTTTCTTCCTTGTCATCCAGTTCTGTGTCCCCTCCAAGGAGAGGTTAAAGAAATCCGAGAATGAGGCCAGGCGCAGTGGCATACGCCTATAATCCCAGCACTTTGGGAGGCCGAAGTGGGTGGATCACGAGGTCAAGAGATGGAGACCATCCTGGCCAACATGGTGAAACCTCGTCTCTACTGAAAATACAAAAATTAGCTGGGCGTGGTGACATGTGCCTGTAGTCCCAGCTACTCAGGAGGCTGAGGCAGGAGAATCACTTGAACCCGGGAGGCAGAGGTTGCAGTGAGCTGAGATCGCGCCACTGCACTCCAGCCTGGCGACAGAGCAAGACTCCATCTCAAAAAATAAATACATAAATAAAAAGAAATCCAAGAATGAGGAAAGAAAATAATGTTGAGAAAAATAGATTAATAGCAGTAGTTGAAGACTTCAGAGTGTGCTGGTGAATGCAGTCAGTTAGTTGTGTGGATGATGCTTGTTTACCTTCCAATGCACAGTATAGATTTGAAGCTTAACAACGTTCTCTGGAGTCAGCCTTTGCCATTCTTGTATCCTGCGACCCTGCATTTGTCCTCTGTGCGTTTCCTCCGAGCATACGTGCAGGATTCTGGTGCTTCCGTGTTTGCTGCAAATTGTAGAGAGTGGCTTCCCATGGCTCCTTTGGGAGGAAGGAGAGGGTTTGCTCCAGGGATTTTTATCCTGTTAAGGGTAGAAACCGAGAAGGACACTGTCTTACCCCAGCTGCCATAACAAAACAATATGGACTGGGTGACTTCAACAGCAGACATTTATTTTCCCTCAGTTCTGGAGGCCTCAGATCCAAGATCAGCATGCTGGCGCGATCGGTTTCTGATGAGGGCTCTCTTCCTTGCTTATAGACGGCCCCCTTCTCCCTATGTGTGCACGTGGCCAACAGTAGGGTGGAGCTCTCTGCTATCTCTTGGTATTAGGGCTAATCTCAACCACAGGGGCCATGTCCATCTGACCTCATCTAACTTAATTACCTCCCAAAGGCCCCAGCTCCAAATATCCTCATATTGGGGGTTAGGGCTTCAACATACAAATTTTATGGGGACACATTCAGTCCATACAGATACACCCTGGCCGACCCACACATTTGAACATAATGACACATCGCACCAATGTCTCATGTCATAGAAGAGATGCAGTGATGATGGACAGTCATAGAAACTCTGATTGCTAAACAATTTAACTCTATCTTCCTTCAGTTTAGCACTTGCTGGTGAGCCCAGAGGAAGCACAGAGAAATGAAAGTGCCTCTCAGGAAGCTCCCATTGTAGGGAGAGCCGTGGATGCACCCCCGAGAGGATGATGAAGTAGTAGACGCGTGGCCGGCTTGGAAGGAGCAGCTTCTGTTGATGGCCAGCCCCTGGTGACAGGGACGGGCACGTACTGCAGTTGCTCCACAGCTAGCAAGTCAGCGGGCTGGCAGAGAGAACGCGTCTAGCAGATACCTGCTGGAAATACCTGCAAGGAAATATGAAGTGGTTAAATTTTTGTGGTTTTGAGTATCTCAAAGATTAAGTTTCAAGAAAATGCTGGGCTCATTTTTTTAAGGTAAAAATCAGGCACATGTCGCCAATATATGGTTTTGAAAGCTTTGAAGAAGAAAATTGGCGGCCCTGGGCTTTTTAGCTTTCTCTTGAGCTAGAGCTGAGAGACAGCCACACACGGGAATCGGGCATCTCATCGCACGTCTGTGCAGAGCCGGCTCAGACTTCCCAGCCTGATGAGCCACAGCACCTTTCTTAGGGAGGAATCTTCATCTCCAAGGATTAGTATTAATTTAGGAGAATCAATCAAAATTTTAAAAACTCTACAGCGAACATGGTGTTTTGGACTCATTCCACTAAATCAGAAATAGCAGTTGGAATTTCACTTTCAGAAGCATCATTTCTTAATTAAGACAAGGCCATGGAAAGTTTTATCCAGAGAATCATCAGAGGAAGGGGTGAAGGCACATATGTGCCCACTTGGATGGTGCTGAGGCCAGGTGGCCCCCCAAGCACAGAGGCTCTCAGGCTTGAGGACTGAAGGCGGTGCCGGGAGGGCTGAGCAGCAGAGGGGGCCTGGGCCCCACCACATGCCCCACAGGCCTCTCCATGCCGTTAGGATATAATTAGATGTTTTGTAAGGCCCTAGCCCAGGTTTGATCTTCTGCCTGACATGACTGCCATTTTCTTAGAAAAGCATTTTTATTGCTTTGATTTTATTGCTGAGTGTCAGGATATCCTGCAGTTACTTATTAATAAATCACCTCGGAGATGTCCTGGTCTGTGCCTGGGTTTTCTGGCTCTGTGTTCCCATAGATGTCAGGCTCTTGTGTTTCTGAACCAGTAGTTCAGCAAAATGGAATCCTATGGAGCCAGGGGTGTCCCTGCTTCCAGAGGGATTGATCAGCTCTGGGATGCTCCAGCGTGGACCCAGTGCCCTGGGAAGAGAACGAGGTTTGGGGCTAATGATAAAATTACAATAAAGTTAGAAAAGATAGAATTAACAGGCAACAGTGCACCTAAGTGCTATGATTTTGAGAATCATCCATACTGATATATTCACCTCTAATTTGATTTCCATCCTTAAATATTTATTTCCATTGAATAAATGTAATTTATTCATTGATGTATTGATGGGTGTTTCCAGTTTTCTTATTTAATAAAAACAATGCCGGCATGGACTTTTGTTTGTTTTAGGATGGAGTCTCACTGTCACCCAGGCTGGAGTGCAGTGGCGTGGTCATAGCTCATTGCAGTCTGGAACTCCTGGGTTCAAGTGGTTCTCCCACCTCAGACTCCCGAGTAGCTGAGACGACAGGTGTGCACCACCATGCCGGGCTAATTTTTTATTTTTTTGGAGAGACAGGGTCTCACTGTGTGGCCCAGGCTGGTCTCGAACTCCTTGGCCCGAGTGATCCTCCCACCTGGGCCTCCCAGAGTGCTGGGATTACAGGCGTGAGCCACCACACCCGGCCTTGGACATTCTTATAATTTCTCTCTCTGTACATATACGTAAGAGTTGCTTTAAGACCAGCTGTTCTCAGGCTTGAGCAGTCCCACAGTCCCCTGGAGGGCTGTTCAAACATGGATTCCTGGGCCCACTGCAGGTGTGAGGTGGGGCCTGAGGATTTGCATTATAACCAAGTTACCAGGTGATGCTGAGGGGACCACACTTTGGAAACCATTTCTTTAGGGTATATAACTAGGAGAGGAATTACTGGTCACAATGACATGGCTGTCTTTCATTTCACTAGATGCTGTCAAATTTCTTGCCAAAACATTTGCACCAGTTTATAGTCTCCTCAGCCACATATGCACATTCTGATTACATCTTCGCCGGCACTTGGTAGCATCAGATTTTTAAATTTTTGCTAATCTGTTGGAATGAAACGACACCTTTGGCAGTTTCTGTATATTCAGGAATCTTCAAGCCTCTCTTTTCGGCTCCATTCTTCTGCCGCCCGTCCCTGAGCCAAAACCATACTGTAGTCTACTTAGTCATCAAGTGTTGGTTCTCAGCTGGGGACACTTTTGCCCCCAAGGGGACATTTGGCAATGTCTGGAGACCCATTTTGGTTGTCGTGCCTGGGGTGGTAAGGGTGTGCTATTGGCATCTAGTGGGCAGAGGCCAGGGATGCAGTTAAACACCCCACACTACCCAGGACACCCCACAACCAAGAACGATCTGGCACAAAGTGTCAGGAGTGCTGGAGCTGAGAAAATGTTTTCTAGTGAAGCTTGAGTCTGCTGGAGCCATTCCTGACCTGCTCTGCACATCTGTGTGCATTTATTTTCTTCATAGTTGCCATGACTCTTCTTGGGGTCTTGTCCGTTGGTATAAGTGTTACAGTTTCAAGTTTGTTGACGAACCTTGTCTACAGTTTGAGCGGAATTGCAGTAAGTTTCTGCACGGAGACACACTGGACCTCTTAGTGGTATTGGATCTTTCTGCAAGTGCACGTGTCTCATGCATTCCTGAGTGTTGAGTAGAACTTGCCTCCAATGCTGTTACCAGTGACTACTCTATTTGAAGAGTTACCTATTCTTTTTTTCTGATAGTTATAGAGATTTACTATTTCTCGTTAATTTTGGCAAGTTTTCCATGGAATTGTCTTTAGTTGTCAGATATGTCAGCATAACGTTGTCCATGGTGTGCGTCTCCCCCTTAGCTGTGTTCCTGGTTAGGCTTGCTTTTGCATGTTTAAAATTGTTCATGTGCCTTTTATTCCTTTCATCTCTATTTACGATGAGTCTTACCCAGAACATAACCATTTTTAAGCTTTTTTCCCCTAAAGAACCAGCTTCTTTGTTCTTTCTACTGTTTCATTAACTTCTCTTCAGTGTCGCTTTCTTTGGGCTATTGTTTTTTTCTAACCCAAGTTGAATATTCAGGCTTGATTTTCAGCGTTCCTCTCTAGTAAGGCATTCAAAGCTATGGATTTCTTGCAGGGGTACCATTTTAGCTGAATCCTACAAATTTTGACATTCATAATTTCTGGGTAAATTTTATCATTAGCATTTCATATTTGATTTGTGAACTGTTTATAAATGTTTTTTAAAAATAATTAGATGTGTGAAAGTTTTCCTAGCAGTTACCAATTTCTAACTAAATTTCATTGTGATTGGAGAATGGGATTTCGATTTCTCTTACTAACTTTGGGACTGCTGATGTCAGTCATCAAATAGGTATAGTGACATGCCCCCAAGATTATGGATATTATGTTTTCATTGTCATTCTGCCATATTTTTACTTTAAAAACGTAACCAAAAATAGAAGTTTTAGATTATCTTCCTGGTGAATTGAACCATTTAAAAGTCATTAAGTACTACTCTTTATCCCAATATTACTTTTGTTTCCCATTAAAATCTATTTTGATATTAATACAGCTGTATCAGCTTTCTTCTTAATTATTTGTTTCCTCATTATATCTTTTCATTTTTTAAGAAACATTTGCATGTTTCTGTGTCTCCATATTTGTCTCCTGTAAACAGAAGGTAGCTAGATTTTATTTTAGTTTAGTTGTATAATCTCTTAACTGACAAGTTTGGCTCATTGACATTTCCTGTGATCACTGACACACCCATTACCATCTTATTTGTTGCTACAGAATTTTCCTGAAAGCTTTTCTTATGCTTCTTAGTCCAGTTTTTTCTCTCCTGCCCTTTTCAAGAAGATGGCACAGACAAACTTTCAAAACTGAAGTCAGAAGCCACGATCTAAAAGACAGGCCTTGGCGAAAGGCTTCCGTAGGTCAGAAAGGAAACCCTCAGAAGCGTGCCCCCAAAAAGAACAAGCCTGACCAGCGTGCCTTCAAATTCCCCTGACCACTCAGCCTTGAAGATCCAGCCCAGCGAACTGCTGTCCCTGTGCGGCTGGGCTCAACCCCCGGCCAAGTCCGAGGCAGAGCAGGCTGGCTCAGTTGGCGAGGGTGATGCCGCCAAGCATGGGATCATCTAAACCATAATACTTTTCCCCAACTAAAAATAGGAATTACTCTTACCTCTCATTCAAGTGCTGAACTTTAGTGATTTTCTGAGCCTGAGGATAATGAGACTCACTTTCCTCCCAGATGAAGCCGCAATCTCACGTCGCTGTGGCTCTAAGCACCCTCCTCTCCACCCCCGTGTCTTTGTTCAGGAGGGTAATTTGGCCTTGGTGACTCCTCGTTATGACTGTTCCATTCCAGGTTTTACATTAACTCACACACTCACACGTCTCTTTGCTTAACATGCTTTCTTGCACTCAGCCCTTCCTTCACTATGCCTCTAGCGAGAGCAGGCTCATAATGACGTGTTTCTTCTTGGTCTCTGCTTTTCTCCTGGATCTTAAACGATACCTAATGTTACACCATTTTAGAGATGACATTTCTCTCTCCTCTTTGAACTTACTCCGCAGTCTTCTGGCTTTTATTATTGTTGTTCATGAGTTGCCTGTCATCCTAATTATTTCCTTCTCTTTCTTAGCCTGCCCTCTCTCTCTGGCTGCCTTTTAGAGAGCCTTTGTCTTTTGATGTTCTTCAACTTCAAAGCAATTGGTGTAGGTGAAGATTGCTTTGATCTTGCTTGGAATGTTTTGCTTTTTAAATCTGGGTCCTGAGGTCTTTCATCGATTTGGGAAACTCATCAGCTTCTTTGAATAGAGTTATCTCCCCTTCTTGGCTTCGGGGAAATGTGACCAGATGCTACGCTTCTGCATCTTTCGTACCTTTTATGCTCTCTTGTATTTCCTTTCTTTGTTCTTCTATGCTGCATTATGGCAGATTTACTCATCCTGCCTTCTAGTTTATTAATTTTCTATTGGGCTGTGACTGTGCCCCGAGTTTGAGATTTCAGTCTCTTCTACCTAGTCATTATTTGGCTTTCAAATGTCTGTCCTTATTTTTGACACCTTGTTTTTGACTTCACCTTTCCTGTGACTGTGGTGTATGAACAGCCATCTCATATTCTTCAGCGAGGATGATGTTTGTTTCTGCTGCCCTTCACTCGGAGTGGCTCATTTCATGTGTGTTACAAATGCCAGATTGGGTTGGGATTGACTTTGTTTAAACCAAGGTTAAGGGAGAGTCCTTCCAGAAATAATTTGCATTTGCTTCTGCCAGGCATTCCCCATGGCTAGGATAACTTACGTGGCTTGTGGTTTTCTGGACCATAGAGGTCGTTTGCCTATGAGTAAAGACCTGTGGGGCATCCCGTGCTCAGTGCCCGGGCAGAGGCCAACTAGGCATGTGCTGTTTCATGGGGTCGCCGTCTGCTGGTGGGCTGGGTTTTGTTTTCTCCTAGTCTGTGCTTCCACTGCAGGGAGCTCTTACAGCTTACAGATGTAGGTCAAACCCCTTCTGCCGTTAGGCCCGAGAAATGTTCCAAGGCCAGTGGAAACTCCACTTGCAATTAGAGGAGTGCGCCTGCCGGGAAGGTTCAGGGCACCTGTAGGCAGGAAGCAGAGCTGTGGCTGGCAGGGAGGAAGGTCGCTAACTGTTGCTGCAGGAATGTTGGCCTCTTTGAGACAGGCTGAGCGTCCTACTCAAAACAGCCGGGACTCACTTAATGCAGAGATTAGTCTTCAGCGTCCCAAAGGGCTGGGGATGAACAGATTAAGGAAGTGTAAAAGGTAATAATAGTTGCCAAGGGTGATTTAGGATGCATTTAAAGTGCCAGACTGGCATATGTCATCTACTAATACGTTGCTTCAAATTCCATTTTGAAGGAAGCTTAGGAAATGCAATGTAGTTAGCCTAATGCCAATGGAAGTTCACCTTTTAAAGTAATATTAAAGACAGCGTGTCCTTTCTCGTGTTGATCTATCCGCAGAGCCCATAGGCAGCATGTCATCCATGGAAGTGAACGTGGACATGCTGGAGCAGATGGACCTGATGGACATATCGGACCAGGAGGCCCTGGACGTCTTCCTGAACTCTGGAGGAGAAGAGAACACTGTGCTGTCCCCCGCCTTAGGTAGGGTTGACAAACTTGCATTAGCTGAACCAGGGCAGTATCGATGCCACTCCCCTCCAAAGGTGAGACGTGAGAACCATCTGCCAGTCACTTACGCATAAACCCCCAAGCTCACAGCCAGCTCCTGGCTCCCTAACCCCACGGTTCCACACGGCTGTGTGGCAGCTGCAACAGTGGTGTGGTTCCGTCATGAATTCTTCTCAAAGATTTGACATGCTCCACTCCGGTAACTTTGGTGAGTTGAGAGCTTTCTTGTTTGTTTTCCCTCCTTTACCACCCAGAAATCCATTTGAGTCTGCTCCTTGTGGTTAAGGACTGGCGTTTGCAGGGAGGTGCGGACTCTCCTGCGGGGCTCACGGGAAACTCTTCCCTCTTCGTGCGACAGGCATTTAGGGGCGTGCCTGCCATGGGCAAAGCCATGGTGTGTGTTCAGCTCTTGGCCTGTGTTGTAAACTTAGTTGCACTTCAGTTCCTTTCATCCCTTCACAAAATTTTGTTTCACATTCATGCAGCAAATATGGGCTGAGGTGCCAGACCTGTACCTGGGCTTGGTGCGTTTCAAATTTCAGACCAGTTCTTTGGGCTGGGTCAAGGCAAAGCTCAGTCGTCCCAGCAGCACCTCAGCCATCTGTAGAAGGTTCTACCATTACCACGGTTTCAGCTTCCTCTAAACTTCTCACCCGCTTCTCCTGGCAATCTGTCAGAACGGTGTCATCCTGGGGAAGAGAAGGAGCTTGGGTGCATTTGCCCTCATCCTGAGAAGGCCAGAATACTGGAGACCAGCGTGAACCCTCACCCAGAGTCAGGGGAAGATTTAGAAACAGTGACACCTGCATATAGAATTTTGATTCCTTGAAGAGCCTATTTAGTTCCATAAAATTGGAGAACTGCTGAAGGTCAGTAATTCCGACTTTCTCAGCAGTGGTGTCTCTGAATTACTGCAAAGGGTAAAAAAAAAAAAAAGAAATCTAGATTATCAAGGTTACAAGGACTGCTCCTCAAAGATAGGCAGCACTTGCCTTTGGGCCTCTATTACACGCGTATTACAGCCTTAGGAGCACTTGATCTGTGTCACATGTGGCTGACTCCTTAGGGGACAGAAGGGTCACCGCAGGGCCTGAGGCTGCCTCTGGCATCGCTCAGCTCAGTGTCTTCCAGGGCAGTTCCCAAGTTCTGCAGGCCCCAGGTGCCTGGAACAAAAACCACACCCCCCTTTCATGACGGGCACATTCCACAGCTGTTGGCGGCAATTCTGATTCACAATATTTTTATGACAGGGCTTTTTCTTCCCTACGTTATTTTGCAGGGCCTGAATCCAGTACCTGTCAGAATGAGATTACCCTCCAGGTTCCAAATCCCTCAGAATTAAGAGCCAAGCCACCTTCTTCTTCCTCCACCTGCACCGACTCGGCCACCCGGGACATCAGTGAGGGTGGGGAGTCCCCCGTTGTTCAGTCCGATGAGGAGGAAGTTCAGGTGGACACTGCCCTGGCCACATCACACACTGACAGAGAGGCCACTCCGGATGGTGGTGAGGACAGCGACTCTTAAATTGGGACATGGGCGTTGTCTGGCCACACTGGAATCCAGTTTTGGCTGTATGCGGAATTCCACCTGGAAAGCCAGGTTGTTTTATAGAGGTTCTTGATTTTTACATAATTGCCAATAATGTGTGAGAAACTTAAAGAACAGCTAACAATAAAGTGTGAGGACGGTAAACTGAGAGCGCACAGAGCTAGTTTGTACACAAAGGCTTCTAAATACACATGTCCTTAAGGCCACTGTAACTCAGGGTTCCTTAGAGTGAAGGGACGTGCAGGTCATTGAGGGCCACCCCGGGAGGTTGCATGTGGGCAGGGCCTGGGCCAGGTGGTGGAGGCTCCACAGGGCTGAGTTCTGCATGAGGCAGGGAATGACCTACCGTTTCACAAGTGGAAAATGCCACTTCCTGTAGAAGAGCTGACTGTAGCCAAACCACTCTGGCAAAGCTTGGGGTTTTCCGTTGATCATTACAGAAGTAAGTAAGTATCATTAGTCCAGTAGCCAGCCAGTCCAACCCCTACTTTTTCACACTCCTGGGCCCAAAAGAACAGAAACAAGCCCAAAGCAATCCTCCATTCTTTATGAAAAGAAACTGGTCCCCTGGAGATGTGTTCCTGCCATCACTCCTCCAGCCCAATGAGAGAGAGGGGACAGACTCCCCGCCGGGATGAGGGGGTCTGTCTGTCTGCAGCCATACCACCCTGAATGCACCCAGTGTCGTCTCATCATGAAAGCAAGCTCAGCAGGGGGGCGCAGCTCGATGGGAAATGAGGGGGACGGCCGCAGGCCACATGGAAACCATTAGGTTAGGCTGAAGGGGACCCAGTGGCAGGTGGGAGCAGGACTGCAGTGTGGGGGGTGGCTCTGCTCCCTGGCTGGGGGGAATCCTCTGCCCCCTGCCCGTGGACGAGAAAAGAAAGAGCTCATTCCATTCAGTCATCTTCCACAAGACAGACAAATGTCCAAAAAACTTTGTTTTTATTATTAAACCTTGTAGTACAAACCTGAAAAGTAAACAAAAAACTCGCAATAAACCACATGAAGTCTCCCTCCCAAGGGAGGGGTGCAGAGCAGCGCTAATAAATTAAATGTCAAACTGTAAGCCATAGGCAGAAGTTTACTGTCAAAAAGAGGGAAAGTACACAGCAAGGCCATAGAAACCGGACAACCACATTGGAAAACACTTGACTGTTTCTGTAATTGTTAAATATTCCAAAACAGTTCAGTCTTCTGCAACAACAACCAACAAAGTGGATCATAGGACGTTCCTGGCAGTCACCACTGGCAAGCTCAGTGCAATATGGGTAGCTACGGGATTGATGAATCCAATTATGAAACAAAGAACAGCTTGTGAAAACAGTTTCCCTTTTTTATTCCACACATACTGTACACACAACCGGAGAAGGGCAACAGCTACTCCATTATTATTTTTTTGTTGTTGTTCAGTGATGTAAGCAGCACTTATAAATGTTACAAGAAAAACCCTGTAAGCATCCAATCCAACCGATGAAGAAACTGAAATGTAAGGCTTTTCTTCATCTTGTCTTCTCACCCCCCTCCCCACCCCCCACCGAGAAAAAGGCTCAAGTATTTAAAACAATTTACAGGCATATGTACAAAAGGGATGGGATTTTTTTTTCTTTTTTCCTTTTTGTTACAACATGAAGAGAAAAAATAGACAAGATGAACGCAAATGCATTTTCACATTCAAAAATAACTGCAGGCCTCCTAGTGGCTCTCTACATGATCATAAATGAAACAAGTTTTAAAAGAAAGATTAATGCTGACTTGTGAAGGTGTCAAACAAGAAGCGGTGAGATGGAGATGGAATGTTAGAAAGATTGCACGTCGATGACAAAGAAGCACTTACGGCTTCCATCACTTTTTTTTCCTTTTTTTTTTTTTTTTTTTTAAATCTTAAGGATGCTATTGAAGGGTTTTTTGATAAAGTAGCCAACAGCACCAAAAAATAACAGAATGGATTTCCTAATGAAATCAGGCACAGGTCTCCCTCATGTGACCCCTCCAAGGCAGGCAGTCTTTTCCGTCTTCCTCGCTCGCTTTTCTTCTTTCCTGGAACAGATGCATAGTGATGTGCTGGTGGAGAGCCCACTCGCTCCCGTCTCCTCGTTCCACCTATGGTTAGGAAACAACGTCCGCCTTCAGCTGCCACAACCGCCCAGAGAAACAAAACGGGGGTGCCCCGGCTTCCCAGATCACAAGCTCATCTGGCACACGGCAGAAGACGACAGCCAAAGCAAAGCCATTTCAAGTTTCGTGTGTGTGTGTGTGTGCGCGTGTGTCTCCTATCCCTTCTAAAAAATCTGCTCACATGACTGATGGTTTTTAAATTTGTTCTCCAAACTTCACCCTCTTCAAAAATGGGTTAAAAAGCCTTTTTCCCCCCAACAGTTACAAAAAAAAAAAAATCAAAACCAAAAAAAAAGGCTTTTGTCAGCCATGGGGCAATACAAATTAATACAGCCCCTCCGGGGTTTTTAAAACAGTGACTATACGGCAGTTTCCAAAATCTGACTGCAGTATCTAGGTTTTCTAAGTACAAAAAAAAGTTCAACAGTTTAATGCTAAAACAAAATTAGTTCTCTAAAACCAGAAGAAAATCTTCTTTAGAGCTAGTGCAAAGACAGCTTGAATCCTACAGCAAGTACTCCAAACTAGAATATAATAATTACAAAAAAATATATATAAATCGACCACGGGCGTTGGCATCTTCATGATGAGCTCGAAGCACTTTTGGATGAACTGGAGGCTGACAGACGGGAGGGGGGCACGTCCACTGTCGCTCTCTTGCGGGGACCTCTTTTTGGTGTGGGTTTACTGAGACAGTTCTCAATGCTGCCGTTTTTACCAGACACTTTGCCGCAGATCTGATTGACCAGACTGATAATCTGTTCCTGTTTGGGGGTGAAAGGAAGACACAGTTAACATACCGTATTAACAAGAGCTCTGTCCCTGAGAGCCATGCAGGGGCAAGTTTAGGGCAGAGGGCAGCGGTCCCCTTCACCACACCAACCAACAGGTTTTAAAATAACCCCGAGAGGCTCAGATGCAGTGAGTCTCCCTTTCCCAGCTCCTCCTGATGCCACATAGCAGGCATGGCCGTTTCATCCTCATCAACACCCTGGTCCACCATGCTTTGCCTGCTCATAAGGGCAGGGCTGGCAGGGGAGCCCAGAGCACTGCCTCTACCACGGAGCACTCAGCAAAGAGACCCAGGGGCTTTGTTACATCCTGGATGGTGACACAAATACCCAAGCTACTTGACTCACTTTAGCTACCGGCCACTGAACCTGGCCATGCAAGTAAATGCAAACACTTCTCAACCTATACATATCCTTGTAATTCACTCAAGAGAATCATTTATCTGTCGGCACCAAAAACTGTGTTTGTAACTTTCACACAGTACATCCTATAATCATATCATTTTTAAAAACAACATGGGGAGGAGTAGCAAACGTGCATCTTATGAGCATCTCTCTGGGCCACGGGTGGCTGGGAACCATGCTGACCCTGGCAGGAGAGGAAGCCAGCCATGGAATGAAACATCTGAGGGCCTGATCTCTAGTCCTCTGAAAAGCCCTCAAGATGAGGGTGAGAAAGTGACAGCTGGCTCCCATCACAAGTTAAAGGTGCCTTCGGAAGGCGGGGCGGTCCACACGTATCTGTAATAACACCATAGTCATGGCTGCTTGAGGTACTGATGATAAACACTGATAAAGGATAAGTGGATGAGCTGCCATAAAACCCATTTAGGCGGCTACTGCTACCTTACCATAAGGACAAGTGAGGAGGAGCGGCAGTGTGCGGTTACAGGAGGACACCGTTCCCTCCCCTGCGTGCAGCTCGACAGGTGGGCAGCACCTGCCCCAGACCAGTGCTCTCACACTAGGCTCGGCGGCAGGCGGCCCAACACCCTGCTCAGCCAGCCTGCAAGGGCCAGAGACACAAATGGCTCCAAACTCCCCAGAGAGCTTCACCATCCATGAGAACCCAAGCCATGAATTCAGGGATTTGCAATCTAGGTGCACCCCCCACCCCAGCAAGGGTGGGTGTTTAAAGCAGACTGTCCCGGGTCAGCAGGCCCAGACATGGGTGATTTGTGTACTGGGCACACTGGGAGGTTGAGAAGATTTTGCAATGGTCTCTGTTTACAAGGTAGAAATTTCCTATTTAAAAGAATGGGCCAGGTGTGGTGGCTCACGCCTGTAATCCCAGCACTTTGGGAGGCTGAAGCAAGCTGATCACCTGAGGTCAGGAGTTTGAGACCAGCCTGACCAACATGGTAAAACCCTGTCTCTACTAAAAAGAAAAATTAGCCGGGTGCGTAGTGGCGGGCACCTGTAATCCCAGCTACTCCAGAAACTGAAGCAGGAGAATGGCGTGAACCTGGGAGGCGGAGCTTGCAGTGGGCCGAGATCACGCCACTGCACTCCAGCCTGGCGACAGAGCGAGACTCCGTCTTAAAAACAAAAAAATGCACAGCTCAACAGGGGACAGAGGCACAGACATGCTTACTGAACTACTCAGCCACTACAGAGTATGCAGTTTCCAAATACCTTTGCTCCTAATTCATCAAAACCAACCATTAGGTCTCAGACAGCCCCTGAATGCCATTCTTTTCCCAGGATCTGGTCACGTCACACATCCGACTACAGAAACAGGCTGCTGGTGAGAGGTACAACCCATGATTCACAGAGCGCTTTCCAGGCAGCCAGAGGAAGCCTCCCCGTGCCGCCGCCTGCACCCCCACAAGGTGCCAGAGCCATGCTCGTGCTCAGCCGCAAAGGCTTCGTTATTTGCAACTGTGCCTGGACATTTGCTGCTAAGGTGAAGGAGGGACACAGCAGGTGCTTACTGCCTTCACCCAGCATGCTCTTTGAAACAAAACAGATGCAAAGAGTTCTTCTTCCAGCTCTCCGATCATTTAGCTCAAGGCTTATCCAGTGAGACCCACCACTTGGCCCCACTGCCTGGGCCCCCAGACACACCAGGCCCCTCACAGTCATACCCGCAGCACCCACCCCACTCAGTGGCCTCAAATGTGCAATGACCACAATGTGGCGACCTTCCTCGTAACCAGCCTCATCAGAGTCTGTGGGAAGCACACGTGGGGAAGGCGGGCAGAGCAGGGGAGAGGCACTGCTGCCAGGAGTTCCGCCACTCAGAGCGGCCCCCAGCTGCACAGGCTGTGTGTTGTTATGACCCCCCTCTCCAGAAGAGCGTGGCACCTGCAGGAAGGCACCGGGATTTCACATCATGGGGCCCGTCCTGCCCCAGTGTCCGCAGACACTTCCAGCTCTCTCAGCCTGAAGGGGCTGGTGTCAAGTTAGTGCAGATTGGAGAGGCCACTGCCAACCATCCCACTGTGCCTGGGACAGGTCACAAAAAAGGGTCTGGGTCTAAACCACAGTGGTGCAGCCCTTGGGAAAGCCGGGGGGGCGGCTGCAGGAAGAGCCTCAGCCCTGTTAAGAGCCCATTGCTCAAATCCAAATGCCCGTGCAGGAACCCCGCTCCCCCTGGGATCCTAACATGGGGCCTGAATGGGTTTAGGGCCTAAGAACAGGGCACCTCAGGCCTGCAGAGCCCTGACTACCCGCCAGGCACAGAACTGCCAGGCCGGAGTGCCTACATCCAGCCGGGAGCAGGGAAGGCGCCACGCTGCCGCCCTGCCCTACCCCGCGGGCAGGGACTGACCTCATCGTAGCGGTACATCAACTTCAGCCCTCGGCAGGACTTCTGTTTCTCCACGTGGCGCAGAGCACACTCCAGACAGAACACGACGTTTTCGTTCTCTTGTACCACCTGCAAGCAAGAGCAGGACACCCGAAGGTCAGGAGGCAGCTCCACAGCGCCCTGGGAGGGTAAGGTAGGAGCACGCCCGGCCGGGCAGCCACCACACCCACTGCCCGCGCCAGAGTAGCCCCAGCACCCACCACCCGGGCCAAGGGCTTTGAGGACTGGAAATGCTGGAAATGGACTAAAACGAAAACTGACCAAACACCTGGAACATGGTCTTCAACTAGGAAGGTGAGTAACTGACCACCTCTGAGTTAGACCTGGGAGTGGCCCTCAAGTCCCCTCCAGATTTCTGCTGGAGTTTCCTGGGAGAGGTTCAGTCACCACCAGGCTGCTAAAGACAGTGAGGGGTGCGTATTTCTCATCTCTTGAGTTCTGAGGGCTCCTGAGATCCTGTGTTTGAAACCACCCTAGTGCTGGAATAGATGTGGAACATGGAGGACTCCAACTTAGGCGGCCACCCGGGGAACGCACCCTTGACTTTCCAGCAGCAAAACAGGTTCTCATGGTGGTCCATGAGTGGCTCACAGTCAACAGAGCAAGCGGCGTCCAACGACCCCATGCAAACTCCCCCAAAACCCTCAACATCACAGATTCCTGACCGCTGTGACGCCGATGACCTCACCCACCAGCCCCGGCCCCCTTGGGCGGGCTGTCCACAAAGCCCACAGCTGTCCCGCCAGTGGACACCCTGCTGCCTGAGGCCACAGGAGAGTGCTGGGACAGAGACCCTCACTGGGGGCCTGTCTAGGGTTGAGAGGGGCCGGATGAAAGGAAACAGCCACCTGGCTTCTGCCGGAGGGCTCCCATACTTCACGCTGACTCCAAGTCCTATTCTAATTCTGAGTTTGAAAATAAGGAAAAATTCAGTCTTAACACTCAAGAGGAGAAGAGTCATAGGCCTTTCTCAGAAAGCTTGAGGGGAAGGACTTGTTTTCGTCTGCGGTGTTTCTAAGCAAGGAACAGAGAACACGTTGTAGGAGTGTGGGAATGCCACCTACTGACAGAAACAAGACCTTGGAGAGACACGGGGCCAAGGACAGGAAGAACAGGAAACACATCAAATTTAAATTCACAAATGTATTAGTAATCCAAGCAATGCAAACTGTCAACGTATAAGTCAAACCCCAATTTTTGCCTATGGATTTATAACGGGTTTTTTTTTTTTTTTTGAGATGGAGTCTCGCACTGTCACCTGGGCGATGGCGCGATCTCGGCTCACTGCAACCTCCACCTCCCGAGTAGCTGGGACTACAGGCGCTCAACATCATGCACGGCTAATTTTTTCTATTTTTAGTAGAGATGGTGTTTCACCATGTTGGCCAGGCTGTGATTGGCCCGCCTCAGCCTCCCAAAGTGCTGGGATTACAAGCATAAGCCACCGTGCCTGGTTTTTGTTTTTGTTTTTTTTTTTTAAAGAGACAGGTTGTCACTCTGTCACCCAGGCTGGAGTACAGTGGTGTGATCATGGCTCACTGTAGCCTTGAACTTCTGGGCTCAAGTGATACCCCCGCCACCACACCCAGTTAATTTTTTGTATTTTTTGTAGAGATTAGTCTCCCTCTGTCACCCAGGCTGGTCTCGCACTCCTGGCCTCGAGTGATCTGCCCACCATTGCCTCCCGAAGCACTGGGATTGGCCTACCATGCCCGGCCTCACAATACATTCTTCTTAAAATAACTTTCAGGCTGACAGGAAATGCCAGGTGACAACTCTGAAGTTTCTGAAGGATGGCTTGAAAATGAGGCCACCTGGTGCCACCTCACAGGGACAGACCAGCTTCACCCCCAGGTGTAACTACCATACAGCCCTCAGTGCATGGAAATGAATAGCGTGTTCCAGCAAGAGGATGGACAGCTGGGCGCAGTGGCCCATGCCTATAATCCTGGGGCTCTGGGAGGCTGAAGTAGGCAGCCTATGGGTAACAGCAAAACCCCATCTCTACCACAAAAAAAAAAAAAGTTAACCAGGCGTGGTGGTACACCTGCTGTCCCAGCTACTCAGGAGGCTGAGGTGGGAGGATGACCAGGAGGTTGAGGCTACAGTGAGACAGGATCACAGCACGCATTCCATCCTAGGCAACAGAGCAAGACTGTCTCAAACAAACAAAAAAAAAAAAGAACAGAGAGAGAGCACACCAAGCTATGCAGCTTTTATCAGTGATGTTTATAAGATACTTTGAAGATCTGGGAAAATGCTTATCATCATTTTCTTTTAAGAACCAAATGGCTCTAGGTAATACATTTTGAGAAGTCTGGGGGAAAAAACCAGACAGAAGGAAATCTACAGGACAGGAGGCAGGGCGGTCACGGACTGCATTTGTCCCCCATCAAATGCAAACGTTGAACCTCCAGGATCTCAGCTGTGACTGCAGTTGGGGGTAGGGCCTCTAAAGAGGTAAATCAGCTCAAATGAGGCCATGAGGGTGGGCCTATCTGATACAATGTGATTTGCGTCCTTAGGTAAGGAGGAGATGAGGACACACCGAGTTTTTAGCTCTTTCAAATGTTACAAAGCCCTGATCTGACGATCTGACGATCTGACTCATCCGGGAGAGGCTGTGTCCTCCCTCTTCTACAGGGCACGCCAGGACTCGGGGTGAGACGGCATGACACAGTCAC